>NC_000011.10:36878181-37029696 GCF_000001405.40 Homo sapiens
ATTCATGAGTGCTTGTGGTATATCAGTTACTATGCTAAGCCCTTATATACATGATTTCAGTTAGTTCTCACTATAGCCCTGAAAGATAGGTCTCAATTTTTCCATTTTGTGGGTGAGAAAGGAGATATGTGGACAAGTCAAAGGACTTGCCCTAAGTCACACAATTAAGTGGAGGAACTGGGATTTAAACCTATGCCTTTAGATGCCACTCAACTTATATCCACATTCAGCTACCATGCTAGGCAAGTACCGTGACTTTACAGAGAAATAAATTCAGAGAGCAAATGCAACAACAGGAACTCAAGGAGGATATGGGAACATTTTATCAACTGTAAATGGAGTGATCATAATAATGATCAATAATAATTATGGCTTCTGGTACATCAGGCACTCTGCTCAGCACTTTCTATCATTTATCCATGCATAGTCAATCTTCAAAAAAACTTTAAGTAGAATATGAAGAGGAGAAAATGAACTTAGAAAACTGAACTCAGAAAGTGACTTGCTCAAATTACTCAGTTAATAAACAAGGAATTTAATAAATGTTCCAGTGATGACCACTCCTATTTTATCAATGTTATTGAAAAAAAAATACCCCACAAAAACCCTGAGGCTCAGTGTAGACTTATTTTAATAAAGCCTTCCTATGTATATATTTTGTTTCTATTATTGGAGCCATCATACTTGGAAGTCTGCAATTTCAAGGGCTTTTCTACTTTGGGTTGTGCAATCCACATTGCTATTCCCCTGAACTTTCAGGTAATGTTTGTATTTCTTTTCAGAAGAGAAAACCTAAGTGCTATTCAAGAAATTGCCTGTAAGTAAAAGGCACTGAGACCTGTTGATGTGCATTTGTTCCAGTTCTCTAAATATCCCCTTTATTGGTCTTGATAGACGGCTAATTCCTTACAGGCTCCATTACTTCTAACTTGTACAGATGTCTTTTCTTTCTTTTCAGGGTTGTGATAGCTTTAAGGAATGAGGTCAGTATTTCAAAGGCATAATTAATTTAGCATGCCTCCTCCTTCATTAGGAGGCTCATTTTCTCTTGAGCCTCTCTCTCTCAGTATGTTTGCAAAGCGCTTCTTCATTCTCCTTAATTCCTTTTGTGAGCACAAACTCACTTTTCTTTTTTCTTTTTTTTAGGTTTCTGACCCTGTTTTCATTCTTTAAGATCCTCAACCTCACAGAGAGCATAAATTCTTCTTAAATTTTTTCTTCTATCTTCAGTTGCAATTTTTCTATTTATTTATTTATTTATTTATTTAATTTATTTGTTTATTTATTTTTGAGGTGGAGTCTTGCTCTGGTTGCCCAGGCTGTAGTGCAGTGTCATGATCTTGGCTCACTGCAAACTCTGCCTCCTGGGTTCAAGTGATTCTCCCATTCAGCCTTCTGAGTAGCTTGGACTACAGGCGTGAGCCACCATGCCCAGCCAAATTTTGTATTTTAGTAGAGGTGGGATTTCACCATGTTGGCCAGGCTGGTCTCGAGCTCCTGACCTCAGGTGATGTGCCCATCTCGGCCTCCCAAAGTGCTGGGATTACAGGCATGAGCCCCTGCGCCCAACCCAGTTTCAGATTAGGTATTGAAAAACTGGGTTCAATTAAAATAAGTTAGTTTGGTAGGAGCCTTGAGTTTCTCAAGCCAAGAAGAGCTTTTCCCCTGATGTGAAAAGGTGGCTTGCTTGAGCTTGTTCCGTTTATGAAAAGCAAAATTCAGTGCTTCCCTCTTCTCTAGGTGTCACTGACCTACAGATGTGTGGGAAAAGTGGAGCAATGGAAATTTGTTCAGAAAAAGCATATTCCAATTAGAAAAGATAGGCCAAGAGAAGACATTGATATGATGACAGAAAAAAGATCACCCTGGATCACTGAATAGCCAACTCCTTGCTGTGTCTTTCTGAAATGTGTGATTTGGGGTTACCCATGATTTTCTTACTTTTGAGGAGGACTTGACCGGAGAAAATTATAATGTGGTGACATAATTTTTCCTGATGGACATGATGTGTAGATAAAGGATCTTGTTACCCTCTCCTTTTGGCACAGTTAGCTCTCCAAAGAGGCAAAATACAAATAAATCCCAATTTTAGACCAGCCAGGCATTTCTAGGTAATTTACGTGTTAGGTCCCTTAATTTAATCCTCCCAGCTGTACCAGGGTCATCTTATTCCTATTTTATAGATAAGGAGTAAGGGGTTCAGAAAATTTCAAAAAATTTATCAAGAATTCACCAGTAATAAGTGGTGAGACCAGGATCTGGTCCAAGGGTTATCTGATGCCAAAGCCAGGCTCCTTTTCAGCAAACCATCACTCTTAAGCCAAGCTGCTTAGCATTGCATGGCAGATGCATCTGATAGCAATAGCTTAACTTAAGCGTAACTTGAGGATGACCTTTTGTGGCAGATGGACCCGAATGTGTGTTTGGAGTTCTGAGCTAAGGAAGCTGGGTGTGGCTATCCTGTAGATTATTCCTTAGCTATGAAGAACTTCTGTATTTTGAGTCTTGTCTGATGGAATGTGAGATGTACAGGGGATTGAGGATCAAAGTCCCTTTCTGGGTTAAATGAAATGAAGGTTGCCGGGGGAGGCTGTTAGGGGCAGGGTGCTAAAAGAAAATGCTATATAGACTGCATGCTTTTCGCAAGTGGTTGTGGTTCTCCTGCCCAGCTCCCTGCCACTGCATCATATGATTCTCTTGCCCAGCCCATGGTCACTGAGCTGTACAGTTCTCCCGATCAGCCTGCTGCCACTCAACTGCCCCTGTGTGTAAGTTTCCTGTTAATGAAACTCTTTGTCTCCTTTGCTTAGCTGCTTGGCCCCAGGTCTTCTTTGGCCTCTTGAACCTGGTGATGTCTCTATTAAAGTTAATAAGGGTCTAGCATGTCAATTGGCGAGCCAGCCAGGAGGGTGGAGAAAATCCTGTGAGCATTGAGACAATGGAGTCGGGGAAGGGAAATCTTCAGGGGACATCCTGAGCTGGCTGTCCATGTCTATGTGGGGCGCTATAACCGCTCTCTTTGATGAATGGGGCCCACTGAGTATGTGAATCCCTCCAAAATGCTGAAGGGTCTGGAAGAGTTGTTGCAGGGGACAGATCTGACTGAAGGAGGGTCAGTTGCCCGAGCTGTGGCAGCTGCAGTTGGCTGCTGCTTGTGACTGAGCACTGAGCAGCCATGGAGGCTGATTTTGCAGCACAGATGAGGGTTTATCAGTTACAGGACAAACTGCAGTTAGAAAGGGATGCTAGATTAGTTAGGGCTGAAACATCCAAGACCTTACTGTCCCGGGACCTGTGGGCACGGAATGACAAAGTGGAGACCCTGGCTTGTCAGGTAGCTCGTTTGAAGGGTTGCCAGCATAAGGACTAAGCAATCCTGGGACTGTAAGTCCTGGGACCTAATGGAGGGCTGTAGTGGGGAGGAGGGTGAAGATTGGGACAAGCTCATAGAGGTTCCCATCTTCATCTTCTCTGTGCATCTAATGGTCATCACCAAAATAAAAGTAGACCAACTGCTCCCACAGGGTGTAGCCCCACAAGACTTGTCCCTAACTAAAAGATGGCAGCACGCTGCAATGCAGGACTACACCACTGTACAATTGGTGGAGCTGGAAAATAGGCTCAGACAGAAGGGGAGAGAGTCGATCAAGGGTGGCTCCTCCATCTATGGGACATAGGGATGGAGGGTATGAGAGTTTCTGTACTCCCAATGAATAAAATGGCATCCATCACAAACCAGCTAGCCCTGAGGCAGCACCTTTTTGGTGCCAGTAATGGGGATCAGGCTATCACCCTCTGCTGGGTGGTTGACAGCTTTAAGGCAGCCTGGCCAAATGAGGGGGAAGTCCCCACATCTCCTTTGCGATGGCAGAGTATGGAGGAATTGTGAGACATCCTCTGGGAATTAGGAATGGGGCATGCAATCTACATTGAGCATTACAAAGGTCCCAATCATGAGCTTTTCACTGCTGGCACAAAAGAAGCCATCTCCCATTCGGCACACAACCCAACCAATTGATACTGTGTGTTAATGTCTATCCTGGACCTCTTGGTAGGACAGCTAGTGTTTTGGGTGACCACTGACTTAGGGGAGACAGGCAAACTGTGTAGACAAGGGGTGTGTGCTGCTGGAATGAAAGACAGAGGAGCCAAAGGAAAGGAGACAATGGTCTCATCAGGATGGTCTGCCCACAGATGTGCCCACAGATGTGGTGTGGTCTGGTAGTGGCAGGAATGCTTACTGCAAGAGCGGATGGACTATGGCAGAAGCTTAAGCCAGAATAGCACTTCCCTAAGGAGCCTCACGCCCGGCCCACTGCCCCTCCTGCAAAGGGAGGCAGGCACCAGCCCCTTTAGACTAGGGGGAAGATGGCCCTGGAGTCCTGATAGAAGCAGTGGTGGCTGGGGTGTCCAGGGACTGGAGACCACTTGTAGAACTAACCATATATTGGTCACCAAAGAATAAACAGACTATTCTTGCCCTAGTAGATACTGGAGCTGAATGTACTCGTATATGGTAAAATTCATTGGTTCCAAAAGATCTTTAACAGCATAGATGGTTATGGACGGGGCCATGGAAGTCAGACAGGTTGAATTAGTATTACAAGTTAGGAGACTAACATCAAAACCCTATTTAGTATACATAGCTCCCATCCCGGGGTACATCTTGGGAATTGATAACCTGTCATGCTTGACCCTCTAAACAACTGTTGGGGCATTTGGATTGAGAGTTAGGATGGTGAAGAGTGTGATCAGGGGAAACGCGAAGTAGACACTGGTACTGTTGAAATACTGCCTGCTGGAGTGTGGGTCGGGATGTGCGTGATGAAATGATGGGGAATGTTAGGGAGTTAGCCTGGGTAAGCAGTATAAGGCCAGTGCACAGCCCGTACAACAGCCCTGTGTGGCCCATGTGGAAGCCTGATGGGACATGGAGAATGATAGTAGATTGCCAGGAATTAAGTTGGTCCCCTCAGTGTATGCCACTGTTCCCAATGTTGCCTGTCTTCTGACAAGGGTAGGAGAGGTGCTGGGCAAATGTTATTTTGCTATAGATTTAGCCAACCCTTTTTCAGCATCCTCATTGCCCCAGAGAGTCAAGACCAATTTGCATTCACCTGGGAAGAACAGTGGACCTTTACCGTCTTACCCCAAGGATACCACCCTGGCGAGTTTTTCCATTAACTTCTGAGTCTTTTTCGAGCTTATAAATTGCAGTCCCCACCTTGCTGTCCCACTTGGCAAGCAGAGGATGGGTGATCAACACAATGTCCAGGGTCTAGGCTTGTCAGTCAAATATTTGGGTGTCATCTGGTCAGGCAAGACCATAGTCATTCAGTCCGCTGTTATGGATCAGGTGCATGCCCACCAACGTCCTACCACATCAAAGTAGTTGCAAACCTTCTTAGGCCCTCTAGGATATAGGCATCCTTTTATTCACCATTTGGCCCAACTCCTTAGGCCTATATACCACTGGGACTGGGTCCACAGAGGAAGATGAGGTCTCTGAAAACTTGTGGTGGAATAAACATAAGCCTTGGGAGTTCTAGTGCAGGGACAGCCATGTGAACTGGATGTAGCCAGTTACCCTGAGGAGTTTAGGTGGGGCCTGTGGCAAAGGCAAGGACATAAACATATGCCTTTGAGATTCTGGTCTTAACTATGTAAGGGGGCTGAATTTAGATGTAGTGCCATGGAACAGCAACTCTGCACTACATACCATGCCTTACAACAAATGCAGGGCATTGCAAAGGGGGTGCTAGTATGCACTCAGCACCTTATAGCAGGTTGGCTGAAGGATACCTTCCAGAAACCAAAGTCTGGGAATGCCAGACACAAACTGTGGCCAAATGACATACATATTTGCAACAGAGGAGCACATTAACCAATTACACCTTGAGCACAGAGCTCCAATTGTGCTTGGTCCTGTCACCTGTATGAGAACTGAAGGACAGTCTTTGATGGAGGCCACTGAACCTCACAGATTCCCTCCTTCATATGGAGGGACAAAGTCCAATTCATAACTAGGGCTGGTACATACATGGCTCATGGTAAGGCAATTCTTGCGCTTGGACATCTGTAGCCATCCAGCCATCCACTGATAGTTCCTGGCTTGATACAGGCAAAGGACACAGTAGCCAATGGGGTGAGCTATGAGCCACCTGGATGGTCTTCCCCCATGAGCTGGACCCAAGAGTCCTGTGCACTGGTAGCTGGGCCATCTTCAAGGGACTCATCATATGGCTGCTACAATGAGAAGCACAGGAACGCTCCAGGCCCTTGCCATATGATACTGGACCCCTCAGCTGGGGTTAGAGCCCATGATAGCAGGTAACTACATAGGACTTTTTTCCTCTATCCGATAGCTGCAGCTTTGCCTTGACTTGTGCAGACACCTGCACAGGGCTGCTGCAGATGTATCCCAGCAAAAGTGCCATCCAGAAAACCATCATAAAAGAACTAGAGCAGCCATGTGTAGCCTATGGCATCCCCGCTGATATCAACAGTGACCAGGGCTCGCACTTTACTGGACATAAAGTGCAGGGATGGGTGGAGGCCCTGGATATCCACTGGCATTTCCACCTGCCAAACAACTCTACAGCAGCAGGGCTGACTGAACAGATGAATGAGCTGTTGAAGCAACAACTCTGGCAGGAGATGCTGCTTACCATCAGCCACCTGCACCCTGAATGATCATGTGCGTTCTCATCACTTCTGTGCATACACTTTCCTGATGCAAGGACCTGACACCACCATCAGGATTCAGGTGGACAGTGCAGTGGACAGTACATCTTTGCCTCAACTGGGGATTCAAGGCAAACTGCTATTGTTCTTGACACAGGACCTACCCACAAGGGAACACATCATAATGTGGCCCCGGAAATGGCAAACCAGCCCCCAATAGTTCAGTTGTTCCCCTCCATGGGGGAAGGACCTAGAACAGGATATACAGGTCACACCTATTTTACACACTGCTCCCCCTTGTAATTCTAAAATAATGAATCTTGGTTTTCCCTGTGCAATGGGACTATCATCCTCTCATTATGGACAATTACGTTACCCCCATTGTCTTACTCTGGCCTCCCACAAAACACCACTGTGGGTGGCCAGTACATTCAGTATTGTAAACCAGGCAGCAGACCATTGCCAGAGTGGTGCTCTCTCAGAATGACACAACTTCCTGTGTCTTGTTAAATCCCCATGACTTGTCCTTTCTTGTACCTACTAAGTATCTCACCTTCTGCCCATAGATGGTGCGCAGCAAACCACTTTGCCGACTGGGAGCAGATGGTGGCCTCTCTGTCAAATGAAACAGGCTGTTGGGACTCTCAAGAGCTGCCCCTCTCCTCCTCTGCTACCATGGCCCTTCTGTGGTGCATCCACGCAGCTAACTTGAGTACCTGGAGCCATTTCAGTCTTACAAATTACCCTTATTATTTTTTTGATGTTGTGATTAGTATGTCCACAGTGCTCTTCCATATACCTGGCCCCAGGGAAATCATGGAAGAATGGCATGATAAGAATGTGGGGGCCATTCAAAGGTGTGCTGGGGTGGAGTGTATGGCAGATGTACCTGACAGCAATAGCTTAACTAAGCACACCCTGAGAATGACCCTGTATGGCAGACACACTCCAGTGTGTGTTTGGAGTTCCAAGCTAAGGAATCCAGGAGTAGCCAACCTGGAAATTTGTTCCTTGTCTATGAGGAACATCTGAGCAGCCTTGTCCATTCTTGTTGAATGCGGGCTGTACAGGGGATTGAGGCCCTGTGTTTGGGGTTAAATGAAAGTTGCCAGGTAGAAGTTGTCAGGGGGAGTGTGCTAAGTGAAAATGCTATATAAACTGCACGCTTTTTGCAAGCAGTTACAGTTCTCCTGCCCAGCCTGCTGCCACTGGACTCTCCCTGTGTGTGTTTCCTCCAAATAAAACTCTGTTTCATTTGCTACCTTCAGATCTTTTTCTTTTTCTTTTTTTTTTTTTTGCTTCTTGAACCTGGTACCATCCCTGTTGACATTAATAGGAGTTTGGCACGACAAGCGTATGCAGTGTGCATGCACTGTGGGTCACATATCTCTTCTTCAGTATGACCTTGGCCTTTCGCACTCTAACATGCCTGGTTACTGTCTGCAACTCTCTTGTCCTTGCTTCTATGCAGCATTTTAATAGAATGACTGTCACTCATATCATAGAAACAGCCTCTGAGTTATTCACATATTGATTATTGACTCTCTGCCCACATTCCCAGTCTTTGGAGAAATAGACTTATTAAGATGAACCTGAGGAATACTAACTTCTTATTCTGACTATAAGATGGGCATTGCCCTATTGTTTTACTTATTGTTACCCGTTTTAATCCTCCTAACAATCTCCAGGGTCAGGCACTCTAATGGGTCAGGCCCCATTTTATAGATAAGGCAGTAGACACAGAGGTTAAGAAATTTGCAGAAGGTTGCTCCACCAGGTGTAACTCCACCATGTGTAACCTGATTCCAGGTGGTAGAATCAGGAAGCAAGGATGCCATTCAGGGCCAAATGTTCTAAGCCTCACATCTCTATCTCTGCTTCATCACATTTGTAAGTTGAATGACTGCTTGAGTAGGTTTTTATTCAGCAATCCCTTTACTTAATCCCCATTTTATAAATTAAGCAATTAAAGATAAGAGGAGTCAAATAGGAAATGGAAGGTTGGAGTTGGAAGTTGAATTTAGGTTTAATTGTCTGCAAAATCCTTCAGGCTGCACCAGTCAGGGAACCTTGGATCTAAAGGATATTCATTCAATAGCTTTAAAAAGACATAAATTACTTAATTCTTCCATTTAATATGGGAAGACTGGACAGGTTCTAAATGATGGTCTTTGGCCTAGACACCCTTCCCTTTTTCCTCTGTGAAAGCTCTTGGTTACAGAGGAAACAAATGAAATTGGGACAGGAATGATTATATGAGGGAAGTATTGATTTTTTTTTTCATATCGTTACTGGTGGCAGTGTTTAGTGGATATGAGAGATTTTTCACTCAGATCTGGGTTTGAATCCAGCTTTTTAACTTCTTCAACCTCTTTGATCCTAAGTTTTCTTATCTATTAAATTATCACATAGGATTGCTGTGGGAATTGGATAAGGTAATGCATGCAGAATAATTAGCACAGAATTTGCAATGAAGAGAGGGCTCAACACACCATAGCTATAATGAGAACTAGGCTTTACCTGATTTGGGCTGAGAGGTGTGATTTTCCTGCAATAGGAGAGGCTGCACAGCAGGATTAGATTCTGTTTGATTCATTGCCACGAAGCTGGTATTCTTTGGCCCTAACTGTTCATTAATCCAAAAGGGGGCCATGAGTACTCATGGGCTTATCTAAAATATATTGTTATTGACTCCTCCTAAATGTGTTTGTTTCCTTTGACTTTGTTTTCTTCCCCTTCTTATCTTTCCCTCTCTCTCAGGTAAAATACGCAGACAATTTTAACTCGGCTCAGACCAGACATGCGGAAAATGGGAGGGGGGAGAAAAGCATATAGCTGGAATGACAAATAAGTGGAAAAGAACAACAAAGAGACATGATTATTTCTTTTTTGATTTTTTTGAACCATAGTTTCAGAAACATCTCAATAAAAATTCAAAATCTGCAAGCTGCAAATTAGGGGAAAGAAACTATGTATCACAATCCCACTATTCTAATGTATTGTAGCCAATTACCTTCCCATATTTTCCCCTATGCACTTTTAAAAAATGTAGATGTAAGACGGAGGAGACACGTTTTTGTATTTCTTCTTTTAACATGTTGCTAGAATAAAAATAGATATACTAAAGCTACAAAAAGATATGAAGGAAACTTAAATACATATTGCTAAGTGAAAGAAGCCAGTCTGAAAAGGCTATATACTGTATGATTCCAACTATATGACATTCTGGGAAAAGCAAAAATGTTGGAGACAATAAAACGATCAGTGATTGCCTGGGGCTCAGGGGTAGGAAAAGAGGGACAAATAGTTGGAGCACAGAGAATTTTCAGGGCAGTGAAAGTATCCTGTGTGATCCTTTAATGATGGATACATGACATTATGCAACTGTCAAAACCCATATAACTGTATAACCCAAAGAGTGAACCGTAATGTAAATTGTGGACTTTGGTTAGTAATAATGTGTCAGTATTGGTTCATATACTGTATACACATACTACACTAAAGCAGATGTTAATGGGGAAACTGCATTGGGGAAAGGTTGTATATGAGAATTTTCTGTACCGTCTGCTCAATATTTCTGTAAACCTAAAACTACTCTAAAAGTAAAAACTATAAAAAATAGATATATTAGAATTTAAAATTTTGAACATCTGTTGTGCCCTTCAAAATAGTCTCTTCAGAATGTTATGTGCTTGTTTTAGAGATACTGTCTTTGCTAAAAACATGTTGTAAGTCCTCTTTAAAAAATGTCTACAGAGATTACATGGAGGAACAAGATGGAGATAACATTTAAAATTACATTTGTATGATCGTGGAAAGCCTGGGAGGAAATAAGACACATTTTCTCAGGTGACTTGTAAATTGGATTTGAAGTTTTTCTTTAAAGAAGCAAGTATTGAACAAGCACTTCCTGGTGGGAATATTTATACAGACTCCCAAGAGACCTTTTTGCAAGAGAACAGTGCTCCTGGAGATGCAAGAGGTCTTGTAGAAGAGGAAAAAAATGAAAGCACCATATTCATGTCTACTATTTTTTTTCTTCACAGAGCCATGGACATTGGCAACAAGTGACTACCAGGTCACGGTGAAGCACAGACTTTTGGTCAAATTCTAGTTTTACCATTTACCACCTGTAAAATCTTGGGCAAGTCTGAACCCTAGTTTGTTTCTCCCTAAAATGGGGAGAATACAATATTATCTTGGAGAATTTACATGGGAATTAATACAGGGAATGTAGATTTATCTGTCTAGAACATACCACCCAATACAGCTGAAACATAGTAAAAATTACTACTAATTATATTGTTACAATTAGAAGAGCACGTAATTTTAGTATTATCTTTTGAGGTTAGTATTAAAAAACTATGGTTAAGCTTGTAAAGAGAGCAACGCTTTGTAGCAAAAAAATGTGCATATCCATAAGGTATCACCTCATTGGCATATATAGACATTGGCCTATACATGTTATCCCTATTATTTTTTAACCTGTTTTCTTTTTCATAACAGTTAAGGTACAAAATTTATAACCTACTTTAAAAAATTCAAGCTTACATAAGATTATCTCTATAATAATGTCACTTTCACTTAACTAGCATTTTGATAGACTTTCTCCAGTGGGAGAAAAACTTGTACATTTTAGCCAGTGCATTGGGAATTGCCCACAGCCTGCAGCCTGTCTTAGGAATGCTGAAATCTGTAACCTGGTACAGCCATGGATGTGCTATGTGAATGTGATTTGTCAACTGTTTTGAGGTGAAGAAAAAGACTGAGAATTTCTGTCTTGGCTTAATCTGCATTCCAGCTTGTTACTCTTATTACCCTTCCAAGGAAGACTCTGCTGCTACTGTAATTCCTAGGGGCAGCAGTTGGACTCCAATTTGTTTTCCCAGAGAGTATAATTTTGCCTTAATATACATCTTTAAGCAAATGTTAATACATCAAAGAGTACTGATGAAATATTCTGCTAATCGTTGAAACTCTTGGTTGGTATTTTAGAAATAATAGAAAAAAATACCCAAATAAAACTTAGGAGAAGATATAATTAATTTTAGTAACAATATAATGCCAATGCTGGGCCTGGCTCTTACAACCAACCATCAAGTTAATTTAATTCCTCAAACCCCATTGCTCCAACAAAATGTTGTTTAAATCAATTCATTCTTTCATTAGCTGCCTAAGAGCGCCATGGAGTGATGAGAAATTACAGAGATGGCATTCATGTTTCAAAAGCCCCTCAGTTTCACTTCATTTTCTGTCCTGACATGGGGGTAATGTTCTGCATTTGCATGCTAAAATAGTATTTTTAATTGTAAAAGTGTGTTGCTAAATTACCTTCAAATGAGTTTATTTTAAACGGTTCATTAAAGTTTTTGAAATCATTCCCTGCATGATTGCATCTCTTCTCCACTTTGATGTATTACATCTCTCACCAAAAATGCTGGCACTGAGAGAAAAATCTTTTCTTGCAAGACTCACATCTCCCAATCTGGCCAGTTTTGAAGTAAAAGCAGCAAAAGCCTCATGCTATTGCAGAATGACTGAGGGCATCTTCTCTGGCACCTCAGCTGAGAGACTAGGGTGAGGGGTGAAGGCAGGTGACTGTGTTGGGCAATAATGAAAGGTCAAAGCCACAGAGGTTTCAAAAGGCTATGTCAATTCGGAAGATGAAAAGCAGCCTCCCCTAGATAGCTAGTTTGGTTCTGAGATTTAAATACATCTCACAGACTGTATGTGTTTGCTTTCATTTTAACTTTTCTTCCCTGATACCACCTTTCCTCTTCATTATTTCTCTTCTTTTGGTATCATCCAAACAATTCACCTCCACATTAATTCTCCTGCTGGTACTCAAACTTTTTTTTTTACATCTTAAGCCTTATCAGTCCCTTTAAGATTTTTTTTGAAGCAAATAGCCTGGTTTTTCATAGATTGTCATATGTATGTTTATGAGAGTTTTAAAATCTTACTATTTATTTACAGCAGGTTTAGGGGAATATGAAGTTGTAATATACTGATGGAGTAAATTTGATTGTGATTCCTTAGTTATTGTCATGAAAACCTAATTTCCCATCCAGACCCACTACTTTCTCGAGTAGTAAAATCCTCCATCAAAAACTACTGAGCAAGAAGGCTTTACCCTATGGGGAAGACAATGAGGAGAGGAAGTGAAGAAAACCAGCTGTATTATATGCCGTAGTATATAATGTTGACATTTTGCAGCTTATTGATCAGTGGATGGTTCTGAAAGTATCTGTTGCCATCTTTGCTTGTCAAATAAAATCCAAACTTTACTTAATGACCCTAACCATACTAACCTTGAGTAAAAGCAGAACTTCCATTTCTGTTTGGGCAGAAATCCAGCTTTTCACCCTTAACATCTGCTATTGAAAGTGCTAGCTATCTTTCTGGTGATCTGTAAGGCACCATAATACTATTTGTGTTAACAATTTGATTTGAAACTTTTTGCACGATGGTAATAACACAATATGCATTTACCGGAGCCAATGTGAAAAACAGAGCTCCTGTTTCTTCAAGTTAACCACCGATTCCTAGACCTTGATTTTTAGTCTTTGGTCTACATTAACTTTTTTTTCTCAAACTTTCAGCACTCCCAATGCATCATCAGGCATTTATTGAGTACCTGTTATGTGCAAGGCATTGTAATAGGAACTACGAGGAATACGAAATAATAAAAGTGGAGAGGAAATGAAAGCTAATGACCATTTTCTTTATTTCAATTACTGTACTATATGACTTTACATGCATTATCTTGTGATAGCCTTGCAGGATATAATCATCTTTATTTTACAGATAAGGAAGAGATATGATCATCTTTATTTTAAAAATAAAAAGCCTACAGCTTCCAATTGTAATACTAAAGGAATTTATAATCCAATGGAGAAATAAGATACATAAAATAAAAATATGAAGTGCTACATAATGAATATCAGATGAGTATTTCCATCATAACTACTATAGTTGTTGAGAAGAGAAGGTCATTAATTTGGGTTGAGCTAATTAGGAAAGCTTGACACTATGATGAGGTAGCGGTCAAGAATCCACTCATTCTAGAATCATTTTTGAAGTGCCTGCCATAGTATTTTTCTAGGAAAGCATAGTCTGGGGATAAGAACTGACATGTGAATAAGCAAGTACAGTTACTTTAAAATTTGCTTTAATGTAGGCATAGACAAAGAAGTCTGGGAGTACCAAAGAGAGAATAACTATATAACTTGGTTTGAGTTTTAAATGGAAACAGAAATTTTATAAACATAAAGTATTGACATAGCTCTTTGAGGTTCACAACGTATTTGGGTAGTTTTTACATTTTACTTATGTTAGTAATTTTATTTACCTTATAGAATTGACAAAGAAATAGAACAACTTACTTTTTTAATGATTCTCCTCCTATAGGTCTTGCTTTCACTCTCACATTGGGTAGAAACAATCTATTTCATTTCCTGAGACTCAGGGCAGTTGATTTTACAAATTTCTGGCTAATAAGATCATTATACTCAAGATTTCAAATTCACATCCACATTAATTCTCCTATTGGTTTTTTTATGTAGATGTTTTTAACACACACACACACACACACACACACACCCCCACACAAATAAAGGCTGAAATTGACTGATATTTGAGTTTTGATTTAGAAGCTGAATTTCTTGGCTGTTGGGTGGTGAAAACTTGGGGTGCTTAATTAAAAGTATGGTACAAAGGGTTCCACTGCTAAGTCTTCTACTGAAATTATTCATTGAATGACATAGTAAATCACACCAATAAATAATCTGTTCTGGACAGTTCAGTATTTTGTTACTGACCAGGGACTTTATTGAGGAAAGTATTATGTTTTCTATGAAATTAAGGGTTAAGAATTTTCTTTGAATGTTTCTAATTTTCTGAAAAACTTGTTGATAGCAATACCAAATAGAAGTTTGGCCACATCCTTTAGGCATCTATACATCTTCACTTGTATATTTTGGAATGACACTATAGCACTGATTTATAAACTAGAAAATCTAGACATTTGCTTGGGACTTGCAAGTCTCTTACTCTGTGATCTTGGGCAATCACAGAAGACTTAAGGCCTCAGTTTCTTCATTGGCAAAGTGGAGTAATACTGTTAACCCTGCTTGCCTCTTAGGGTATCTCTGAGGCTCAAATGAATTCCTATGTACTTGAAAATTCGAATGCATTTTGCAAACATAAAATATTTTTTGTTGTATACTCATTATCATGGACTTGTCTTGTTCCTTGATTTATTCATCTTTAGGGGTATTTCCTAATATGTAAAAAGAAAAATCCCTTTCTAATAAAAGGAATCAGAACTCCATGGAGAAGTGCTCCAAGCGTTGATTCTACGACTGTGCAAGAAACATACGAGATCAACCTAGAGTATCTTGCGGGGCCAGAAGATAAAACAAAAACAAAAAACAAACAAACAAACAAAAGAACTCAAACAAAGAAACAATAAACCGAAAATCAACAGCCACCCCACAATGATGGCAGTATGTCAAAGAGACATGGGAGCCAATTGAATATTGCATTATAAATCAAAGAATAAAATAAATATCCATCAGTCTACACTGACATAAATAAATGATAAAATAAATTGGGTAGAGAATAGACAAACTTCTCATGTAGAAGAATTTAAAATAACTTATGCAGCTATTTTGCCTTTAAGGAGGTGGACAATAATTCCCCTATCCTTTTTTTTTTTAATGTTTTTTTTTTTTATTATACTTCAAGTTTTAGGGTACATGTGCACATTGTGCAGGTTAGTTACATATGTATACATGTGCCATGCTGGTGTGCTGCACCCACTAACGTGTCATCTAGCATTAGGTATATCTCCCAATGCTATCCCTCCCCCCTCCCCCGACCCCACCACAGTCCCCAGAGTGTGATATTCCCCTTCCTGTGTCCATGTGATCTCATTGTTCAATTCCCACCTATGAGTGAGAATATGCGGTGTTTGGTTTTTTGTTCTTGCGATAGTTTACTGAGAATGATGGTTTCCAATTTCATCCATGTCCCTACAAAGGACATGAACTCATCATTTTTTATGGCTGGATCCCTTCCTTACACCTTATACAAAAATCAATTCAAGATGGATTAAAGATTTAAACGTTAGACCTAAAACCATAAAAACCCTAGAAGAAAACCTAGGCATTACCATTCAGGACATAGGCGTGGGCAAGGACTTCATGTCCAAAACACCAAAAGCAATGGCAACAAAAGCCAAAATTGACAAATGGGATCTAATTAAACTAAAGAGCTTCTGCACAGCAAAAGAAACTACCATCAGAGTGAACAGGCAACCTACAAAATGGGAGAAAATTTTCACAACCTACTCATCTGACAAAGGGCTAATATCCAGAATCTACAATGAACTCAAACAAATTTACAAGAAAAAAACAAACAACCCCATCAAAAAGTGGGCCAAGGACATGAACAGACACTTCTCAAAAGAAGACATTTATGCAGCCAAAAAACACATGAAAAAATGCTCATCATCACTGGCCATCAGAGAAATGCAAATCAAAACCACTATGAGATATCATCTCACACCAGTTAGAATGGCAATCATTAAAAAGTCAGGAAACAACAGGTGCTGGAGAGGATGTGGAGAAATAGGAACACTTTTACACTGTTGGTGGGACTGTAAACTAGTTCAACCATTGTGGAAGTCAGTGTGGCGATTCCTCAGGGATCTAGAACTAGAAATACCATTTGACCCAGCCATCCCATTACTGGGTATATATCCAAATGACTATAAATCATGCTGCTATAAAGACACATGCACACGTATGTTTATTGTGGCATTATTCACAATAGCAAAGTCTTGGAACCAACCCAAATGTCCAACAATGATAGACTGGATTAAGAAAATGTGGCACATATACACCATGGAATTCCCCTATCCTTAAGCGTGGGCTGCCTGCAATAACTTTCTTCTGAAGAGTGTAGTGTGTAAAGGGGGAAAAAGGAGTAACCTTTCAGTGGAGGAACCTGACAAACACTACCTCAAGCCAGGTAATCCAGGATAACATCTTATTGGTAATATGTGGTCTTAATATGATGTGACAGAGAATGATACTTCATCTCTGTGGTCTTCCTCCCAAAACACATTAACTGACTCTGATTATGAGAAAAAAAAATAGACAAATCCCAGCTGAGGAACAGCCTATAAAATACTTAACTAGTACTCCTTAAAACTCTCAAGGTCATAAAAAAGTCTGAGGAATTGTCACAGTGAGGAGGAGTCTTGGGAGACATGACAACTTAATGTAATATGATTTCTTATGTGAGATCCTAGAAGAGAAAAATGACATTGGGGAAAAGCTGAAGAAATCTGAAAAACATATGGACTTCATTTAATAATAATATATCAATATTGGTTCATTGTTTATGAAAGTGTACAATACTAATGTAAGATGTTAATAATATGGAGAACTGAGTATAGGGTATATGGCAACCCTCTCACTATATTTGCAATAATTCTGTAAATCTAAAACATTTCTCAAATAAAAAAGTAAATTCCGAGGACTCTTTGGAAAGTGTTTAAAATATTTGGATGGAGAAACTTGTATAATAATTAAAAGGGAGATTTCTTCCACTTTCAATAAGTTTGTTTTCTTTCAAGCCCACTGAATTATTTCTTATTGCTGAAATACACATTTTAAGTAGTGAATTATTACTAATAAAATGTTCAATGGAACAACATTTAAATATAAGATGAGACATTGATTTTCATCAGGAATTATATCTATTTTAGAAGAGAATGAAGAAAAAATTAATCATTACAAGATACATATTCTTTTTAGTTATGCATAGTGTTGCTATTATTCTTGGATTTAACACTTATAAATAGATAAGTTTTGCCACATTAACAAAAGAATAGAAAAACCATGTATCCCTATATTTTATTTTTCTGGCTTTGCTGGTTCTCACTCTCATCCGAGATTTCCAAGATTTTTGAACATTCCAAAAACCTTTCTCTCTAGCATTCATGTTTTGTACAACAAAGAATCCTAGCCTTTTCAGTTATCTCCTTTGTAGAAGCTCCATCATCTCCTTATTCATTGTGCAAATTAAAGCCTGCAGTAAAAACAATGTTCAGTAACTTCAAAGCAATGAGCATGTACTGGATTTCTCGTTCTTTTTCCCTTATGCAATCTGATTGCTTTGCCTGAAATTTAGCTAACAATGATTCAGAGATGCATTTTGAATCCAGAATCCATTCCCTGCACCAAATCTGCGACACTGGAGAGGGAACCAGCAGAGAAAGTTGCTGAGAGGAGTTGGTTACATGACCTAGATCTCATGCCAACTTCCACAGAATTGCTGCTGTGAACTCAAGTATCCAACATGAATTGATAAAACAGTCCCAGGAGATCAAGAGCCTCTCAGTCCTATCAGAATTCAATGGTACTTAGTTATATATCTAATTCACCATAGAAACTCACTAATTACCTTGATGGTTTGAGAAGAAGGTGAATTTTACATTTTTGTTATCAGTGAACTCTTGGGAGAAGTGAGAATGCCATGAAAACATGAGTAGATACGTGATTGATGTACTCATACAACTGAGATTGGCCAGAGTAAGATGGGTTACAAAATCCTTTGAAATATAATTTCTTGTCTTGGATTTTGGCTCTGGCAGGGCCAAAAAATGGAAGTGGCTCAGTGTAGAGCTACCTTGCAAAATACTGAACCTTTCTTGAGAGGCTGTTTTCTTACCTGACTCTAGCTATTAAGTGTACAAAAATAGTGGTGTACAATAAAGTACTTAATCTTAGTGAAGTGACATGCTTGGGTTTGAATGGAGAGCTTCCTTCTAATTTGTCTGAAGAGAAATATTCAAATCCGCTTTCATTCAACCAGGTTAATCCCTGGATGAATTTATACAGTGACAATTCATGTCTGTGCTGTTTTAAAGCCAGTCTTCTACAGGGTGGCGTGCATTTTAACACAGAAAGAATCGATGCCTGCAATTGATATTTGGGTTCCCAGGTCACTGCGAGAACAATCATGCATTGGTCTGAGCCAAGAAAATCCTCCACTGGGTCATATTATTGCAGGCACACCAGATGCAGGCTAACTTCTCATTCTTTTGATTACTCTAACAAGAAAACTATTTTACAGGTGGTTGTTTCTGGGGTGGCCAATAATTATTCCTGGTTTGCATTGGCTATTTTATCTAAGCCTAGCTGCTTAGATAAATTATTCTGAAGTTTCCCGAATATTCCTACCTTCTGACCTGCCTGCTGGGATTGTTCCTGGTAATTTGGATTGGTTTGAAGTATCTTTGGAGAAAAAGATCCCACGTCTTTTTGTTAACATTTTTGACTATTTTTTACCAAATGAGGAAAGGGTTGGCATCTGTTAGGAGAGGCCTCAAGGACATGCCCAATGTGGGTCAACTATGATCAGGGTCTGTTTTTAATTGAGAGTCTGGAGCCTGTAAAGCAGTTGGTTGGGGGTAGAGTCAGAGTATGTTGAATCGTGAGTCACTGGGAACAGGATCATAAGAACATGGACAATGAGAGGAACATAGTCTATGGAACAGAAAGCAAAACAATAATTTAACAACAGAAAGCAAGACTAGGCAGGGGTCCAGCCAAGTTCTAATCAGAGAACAGAACGGGGACATGTAGGTGATTCTGCCAAACCAGTGGCAACCAGGGTTAGATTTGCAAGCTCTGAACCAGGGCTCTTGACTCTACCACTTTTAATTAGTTCTGTGTCTCTTTGTTGAAATATTAATATCTGTTTGATGTTTTCCTAAATTCTTACATTTAACCTTCAAAACAACCCTTTGCATTTGTGCTATAATTGTCCTCATTTTACATAATAGAAATACTTAGGCTCAGATAATTTAAGTAAGCTGCCCAAAGTCACACAGCTAAAAATAGGCTGGGCTAATTTTATGGTTCAAGGGAGAGAGTGGGAAGGAGGAAAGAAATTGCAATTATGAGATTGCAACTTAAATGGGCAAAACTTTGCTCTCCCTGTACCCTTTCCTTGGGAAACAGCAGTAGAAATCTTGTAGTTGAAGGGTGTATCAGAGTTTTCATTAAGGAGCATTATAAATACACTATATGGCAGGCAGAATTTTTCTGCCCTCTGGTATTATCTCTGTGAATGTTTTGCTACATAGCCCAAGGAACTCTACAGATGCAGTTAAGATTACTAATCAATTGACCTTAAAATAGGAGTGTAGTTGGGGCTATCCAGGTGAGCCAAATGTAATCACAAGCTCTTAAAAGCAGAGATCTTTCTCAGGATTGTAGCAAAAGGGGAAGTTAGAGAATTGAAATATGATACAAATTTGACCTAGTATTCTTGAAAGTGAAGAGAGTCATGTGGCAAGGAAAGGTGGTATTCCATTTTACAAAGGCAAATAACTGAATTCTGTCAAAAATCAGAATGAACGTGGAAGCAGAATCTTCCTAAGAGCTTCCAGATGAAAGCCCAGTCTAGCGGGCACCTTGATATCAAGCTGGCGAGGTCTTGAACAGTGGACCCAGCTGAACCAGGCTGCACCCAGACTTCCGATCCAAAGAACTCTGAGATCATAAACAGGTATTGTTTAAAACCATTAAGTTTTGGTAATTTGTTAACGCAGTAACTCACAGATGAACTCAACAAGTAGCAGTAACACAGATGAACTCAACAAGGCCCCAGGAGCTTGTGCAATCTGGCTCTTGCCTGTCTCTTCACCTCTATTCACAACCACCTTTCTCACTGCCAAACTCATTATTTTCCAGCAACATTGACTGTAGTGTGTTGAACTGTGGTCTCCAAAAAGATATGACCCTGTACTAGCCACTGGTACTTGAAAATATGATCTTATTTGGGAAAATGGTCTTTCTAAATGTAATTAAGGATCTCGAGATGAGATTATTTTGGAATAACCAGAAAGGCCCTAAATCTAATGACAAATATCCTTGTAAGAGGCAGAAGAAGATACAGAGAGAAAAGGGGAAGGCATAGAGAAAAGAGAGCCTCATGTGAAGATGGTGGTAAAGATTAGAGTTACACAGCCCCTAGCAGAGAAATACTTGGAACCCATAGAAGCAGGAATAGGTAAAGAGGTATTCCTCCCTCTAGCCTCCCAAGGGAGTACGGCCCTGCTGCCAGCTTGATTTAGGACTTCTAGCTTTCAGAATGTGAGAGAATAAATTCAGTTGTTGTAAGCTGTGAAGATTGTGGTGATTCGTTATGGCATTACTGGAAAACGAATATACTGACTTTTCACGTTCTTAAAAATGTCATGGCCCTTCCTTTCTTTGGGTCCTCTCAATGCTTTGGAATTTGGGGGTCTCACTTGATAGTTCTCTCCTCTCTGCTTTCCATTCATTTGCCTAATTTGTTTTCATTCTTAAGGTCTCAGCATAGTTGAAATTTTCTTAGAAATGTTATTCCTATCTTCTTTATCACCTTGCTAATAATACAGGCTTCTCTGTTATAGGTCTTCATAGCAAAATGTAGTTTTCTGTACTTACTTGCATAGTTATTTTATTCATTTTTTTCTTTCCACTAGACACTATACTCCAGGAGGGCAGTCCTCATTTCTGTATTGGTCACTCCAGGACAATACCTGACACGGAGTGTATTGACAATAGATATTTGTTGAATGGATAATTGAATATTCCTTTTGGCTCATTCTCTGTTTGGGACTGTCAAAAGGATCAATCCCATGCAAGAGTCAATGGAAAAGATTTTTAAATGTTCCTGTTCCTGACACACAACTTTAATACCGTTTCTCAAAATGCCAACCTTCTATTAATATTCAAACTAACGAGAGGAGTGACGATGGAAACCTAAAATGAAAAATGTTGAAGATAAAAAGAGAATAGCTAGGACTCGGAGCTCCTGTGTCTAACCATCTCTTTAAATGCTTTTCAGATTTGTTTTCAAAGAGCAGCAGCTGAGAGGAAGAATGTGATGCCTATCTGATGCTCACATAATTGTTCACTTCTGAGCAGAAAGCCTATGCTGTAAACATTAAGTTTTTTTCTTTTTATTTGTTTTCCCCTTTTGTTTAACTAAAAGTAATTATGTTTACATTAGATTAAGCACTGGTTTGTTCTTGTGCAGAACAATAGAGCTTTTTTTTTCCTCCCCATCTCTTGTTCACTATGTCATCCTGTCAGTAGCACTCAGGAGCAAAGCCATAGTCGTATTGCAGCTGTGTCCTGAGAGACATTGGCTTATCCTTTGTAGAAAGAAAATGGGGCTGTGAGAACAGAAATTGAAAGGTTAGACTAGGTAACTTAGACTAGCAAAATAAAAACTACAGCAAGAAGGCTTATGGTTTTGCATTCCTGGGAGGCTTCATGAAGAGTTAAATTCTTTCATTAGTCAATGCAGCAGAAAAGCAATTAAACTGTGATTCATTTCTGCTCACTGTGTGTTTTGTGACCAGTGGGCCTCCAGTGTTTTCCCCAGATGCAAAAGTTCTCTACCTTCTCAAATATTCCTTGGATAGGCTCTTGGACAAGATTTTTTTCACTTCCATGAGATACTCTACAAAAATTAGAGAAGCCTGGGGAGCTTCTGCAACTGGACCTCAGAGAGGTAAAGTCTGGGGAGACAGTAGGATTCTGAATCTCCTTGTTTCCCTGAAGCCTTTGAAGAGAAAGAGGAATGACTTTCTGAATCAGCAATGACCAAGAGGCAGCCAGTTAGTTTCACAGTCAGAATTCCACTGATAATTGGAACATTCAAATATAATCCCTCCCTTTCCCTATGGATGGCACACATCATATCTTTCTCACAGGGCTCATAGATATTTCCTGAGCCATTGATCCTTGTCAGAGTGACTAGGTTTGTTAGTACAGGAAGATTTTTTTTTTTTTTTCTGGAGGCTGTGGGGTCAAGACTTTCTCTGAAACTCTGCAAAAATGTCACTGCCTCTATCTAATTCCTTGTCCTCTCTGTTTCTGGGAGGCTGTGCGTGGGCTTGCAGAGGCACTAGAACCTCAGAGAAGCTTGAGTTAGAATTCATGCTCTGCCACTTACCAGTGTGGAAACATCAGCACATCATTTACTCTCATCAGGGCTCACTTCTTTTGCTATTAAGTGGATGGTAAGTGTTCCCTTCTGGGGATGACTGTGGAGAAAATTAGTGAGCTAATGTAGGTGGGAGATCAACACAGTTTCTGGGAGGTAATAATCTTTCAAAAAAGAGTGATCAGAAAATCCCTAAAAACATGTTAATATATTTGGCAGATTATGCCAGTAGCTGGAATAGCACAACTATTTCCATTTATATAGAACTTTACAGTTTGTTCCATGCAGACTTGTCATGTAAGGTAGGATCATATACATGATTTTTTTTCTTTTTTGATTATCTCAGAGTGTTATTTCTCAAAATGTCTACTTCAGGAAGATCTGCCTTGCAGAAGAACTGAGAACTAATATTTTTTGAATACCTATAGCTGGCCACCTAGAAATGAAGTAATAACTTTTTTTTGAGATGGAGTCTCGCTCTGTCGCCCAGGCTGGAGTACAGTGGCAGGATCTCAGCTCATTGCAACCTCCAACTCCCAGGTTCGGGTTCAAGATTACAGGCATGTGCCATTATGCCCAGCTAATTTCTGTATTTTTAATAGGGACAGGGTTTCACCATGTTGGCCAAGCTGGTCTTGAACTCCTGACCTCAAGTGATCCACCTGCCTCAGCCTCCTGAAAGTTTTGGGATTACAGGCATGAGCCACAGCATCCAGCTAGATACAGGTCTTTCTTGATCTTCACAATGACTCTATGGAGAAGGCTATACTAATCTCCCCACATTACAGCCATAAAAATGGAGGCTGGGAAAGTTCAACAATTTACTTAATGCTTGGCAAGAAAGAATCAGGACTGCAGTTAAAGCTAAGGTGTCTAACACAAAAGTATTTGCTCTTTCCGTAAAATCAGCTCTCTCCCTCTGTTTTGAGAAATAAAAAGGTGAATTCTGAAAGTGGAACAGAGGAGAATCTATGCATTGTTAATGCCTGTGATCACTAGAAAGTTATCCCTTTCCATTCAGAAAAGAAACTCCTGGAATGTGCAAAGAACTCACCTTCTCTCCCTGAAATGATTTATCGGTAAAACTTGAAGGGATTGGAAAGGGTCTTACAGAGGAAAGAGTAAGTGAAGGCTCTTGTGTTGAGTGGCACATCCCCACTGGTGTTGGATTCTTTATGACAAGGCACAGCACTGTGAGTTGTGGATATTGCTCCTTGATCACTGAAAAAACCCTCCAGTTTTCATTCTTATATAACCTCAGAATGCCCTTTGCTTATTAAGTTATTGTGTCCTTAGCCACATGTTACAGTCAGAAACAAGGGGTTGGTGTGGTGTGCAGAGTTGGAGTAATGAACTGAAATGAGACAATTTCTCTTTGCTGACAATATCCCATTAACCACTCAAACCCATACTCAGCCATTGTTCAGGGCATATTCACACTCCTTCTTACAATTACAGGGAGTAATTGCAAGACGTTGAGTTATGAAAAGAATCTGGGTTCACAAAAACTATAGCAAATTGACATACTTGACAAGTTGGTTCTAAAATTACCTTTTGTTCAGTGTAATTTGAGATAAGTTAGTTAGGCTTTGTATTGGGTATGTTTTTTGGTCTCCTTTCACGGCATAAAACTAAACTCAATGTTGCTTCATAACATCCTGCTATTATCCTAATAATTTTTTGGATTACTTAGAAAAATCTTTCACTAATTGTGGCATAAATTCTTCTTTTTTCACAAGTTCATTTATTGTAAAGTTGGTTGGGTGTATGTAAATAAGAACAGAAGTTGCAGGTCTTGGAGGACCTGTGATATTATGGAATGGGGGAGTGAGACGATAGAGAATTGTATGCAATAGTGTGTCTCCTAAGGGGACTTCCCTGTAAAAGAAACCTAACATGGGCCCGGTGTGGTGGCTCACACCTGTAATCCCAGCACTTTCGGAGGCCAAGGTGGGTGGATCATGAGGTCAAGAGATCGAGACCATCCTGGCCAACATGATGAAACCCCATCTCTACTAAAAATACAAAAATTAGCTGGGCATAGTAGAGTGCACCTGTAGTCCCAACTACTTGGGAGGCTGAGGCAGGATAATCGCTTGAATCCGGGAGGTGAAAGTTGCAGTGAGCCGAGATTGTGCCACTGTACTCCAGCCTGGGTGACAGAGCGAGACTCTGTTTCAAAAACAAAACAAAACAAAAAAACAAAAACCAAACAAACAAAAAAGAAACCTAATGTGATAGGATGGAGTCTGTATGCTCCATGAGGGGTGGTGCTTTGAATGATTTATTCATAGCTGTATCCCCATTCTGGCACATAGTGTATGGGCAAGAAACACACATTCAATGAATTAATAAGTGAATGGTACAATAAACAAATGAGAGGCATAGCTTGGTAGAAAAGAAAGATTACAGGCTGTAGAGCAAAGGGGGAGAATTCTGGCTACATTATTTATTGCATGATTTGGGGCTAGTCACCAATTCTGTTTTCTCATATATAAAATGGATATAATAGACATTTTCTTTTTGGCTTCTGATAATTTAATGATAAAATGTTTGAAAAAATCCAAAATGAATAAATGTTTATGTGTGTATATACACATATATGTACATGTATATATTTATTTATTTCTTGTTCTAAAAAGGATTTGAAGTGACATAAAAAAAATCCAAGGATTACTGGATTATATATAAAAGTAGAGGAGAAAATATTAGTGAAGGGAAAGCAAGCAAGGGAAAAACTTAGATATAATCAAGAGTGAAGGTAGTGTATAAATTGCAGGGAATATATATCCCTGGATTGCCTAGAAAAGAACCACAAATTTGACTCTGAGCTTTCTATCAAATAAAATGAAGAGGTTAACATGATGCAATACATAATTGAAATTGTTAGTCAAATAAAAACAAAACAGCTCTTCAAAAGACCAGTCCTCAGAAAAAAGAGAGTTTTTGTTGTGAGCTACATTCTCGGTAACAGACTTTACTGAGCTATTTTTTTCAGAGCATGTCAACATGGAATCTAGTAAAATTATGCCTTAATATGGGAAAGAGAGCATAACAACCTGTAATATAAAACAGATTTCTGATGGTCATGCTTATTCCCAGGATAAATTTATCTACATTTATTGCATTTTAGAAAAGCTATAAAGAAAAGCAAGTCAAAGATAAATGACTACCAAATTGATGGTCTATCAGAAAAGCATTGGTACAGAATTTATAAATAGGGATATTTTTGAGTAAGACTTTCAGAGAATGAAATGTGTTTACTTGATCTGAATTATAATTATGATTTCAAGTTATTTCAAATAACTCACTTTTTATTTGCTATTTTGTCATATATTTTACTTCTATATAAGCTATAAACTTCACAAAAATGTTGTCGTTGTCTTAAACAGTCAACATCTTTTATATTCCTGTATATTTACCTTTTCTGGTGCTGTTCATTATTTCCTGGGCTTTCTTGCTGTCATCTGGAATTATTTTGCTTTACCCAGAGGGGATTCCTTTAGTATTTCCTACAGTAAAGGTCTGTTTTGAATGAATTTTATTACTTTGTGTCTGTCTGAGATTATTTTTCTTTTGCCTTCATTATTGAAGGATATTGTCACTGGGTATAGAATTCTAGTGTTAGCGGCTGTTTTTTTTTTAAACAGGTTAAAAATGTAATGTATATATATTTTGAAACATCATGTTATACATAATACATATCATTTTATCTGTCAATTAAAAAATAAAACCCAAAAAACCAAAAGTGATAATATAATCACATAAACAATTACATTTTTTTAATGGCATACATAGTTTCTATTGAGAAATCAGCTGTCATTTTAGTTGTTTTCTCCTTAAAGAAAATGTTTCTTTGACCCCTCTGGCTGATTTAAAAACAATTTCTCTTCAATTTTGGGGATTTGTTTTTAGCAGTTAGATTCTTATATGCCCAGGTGTGGTTTTCTTTTCTTTTTTTTTTAAATATAAATGTCTTTTAATTTGTCTTTACCATGTTTTAACTGAACTATGTCAACACTGAAAATTAAATCTACTCTTACACGAGTGTCCTACTTAGTTTTTTTTTCTTTTCTTTCTTTCTTTCTTTATTATACTTTAAGTTCTGGGATACATGAGCAGAATGTGCAGGTTCGTTACATAGGTATACACGTGCCATGGTGGTTTGCTGCACCCATCAACCCATCATCTACATTTGGTATTTCTCCTAATGTTATCCCTCCACTAGCCCCCTACCCGCTGACAGGCACCAGTTTATGATGTTCCCCTCCCTGTGTCCATGTGTTCTCATTGTTCAGCTCCCAAGTATGAGTGAGAACATGTGGTATTTGGTTTTCTGTTCTTGCGTTAGTTTACTGAGAATGATGCTTTCCAGCTTCATCCATGTCCCTGCACAGGACACAAACTTATCCTTTTTTATGGCTGCATAGTATTCTATGGTGTATATGTGCCACATTTTCTTTATCCGGTCTATCATTGATGGACATTTGGGTTGGTTCCAAGTCTTTGCTATTGTGAACAGTGCCACAATAAACATATGTGTGCATGTGTCTTTATAGTAGCATGATTTATAGTCCTTTGGGTATATACCCAGTAATGGAATTGCTGGGTCAAATGGTATTTCTGGTTCTAGGTCATTGAGGAATCGCCACATTGTCTTCCACAATGGTTGAACTAATTTACACTCCCACCAACAGTGTAAAAGCATTCCTGTTTCCCCACATTCTCTCCAGCATCTGTTGTTTCCTGACTTTTTAACGATCGCCATTCTAACTGGCGTGAGATGATACCTCATTGTGGTTTTGATTTGCATTTCTCTAATGACCAGTGATGATGAGCTTTTTAAAATGTTTGTTGGCTGCATAAATATCTTTTGAGAAGTGTCTCTTCATATCCTTCACCTACTTTATGATGGGGTTGTTTTTTTCTTGTAAATTTGTTTAAGTTCTTTGTAGATTCTGGATATTAGCCTTTTGTCAGATAGATAGATTGCAAAAATTTTCTCCCATTCTGTAGGTTACCTGTTCACTCTGATAATAGTTTCTTTTGCTATGCAGAAGTCAAGACAAGAACTAGCAAAAGCTAGTTCTCTTGCACCAGATAGCCAAGTTGTGAATACAAAGGAAAGCTTCTTGAAGGAAATTAACAGTGCTACTCCAGTGAACACACAAATGCAAAGAAAGTGAAATAGTCTTATTGTTGATAAAGAGAACATTTCAGTGGTATGGACAGAGATCAATTCAGTCACAACATTCCCTTAAACCAAAGCCTAATCCAGAGCAAGGGCCTAACACTCTTCAATTCTGTGAAGGCCAAGAGAGGTGAGGAAGCTGCAAAAGAAACTGTGGAAGCTAGAAAAGGTGAGTTTATGCAGGTTTAAGGAAAGAAGCTATCCCTGTAACATAAAAGTGCAATGTGAAGAAACAAGTGCTGATGTAGAAGCTGCAGCAAGTTATCCAGCTTGACGGATCCAGAAAATCTAGCTTAAATAATTGATAAAGATGATTATACTAAACAACAGATTTTCAATGCAGACAGAACAGTCTTCTGTTGGAAGAAGATGCCATCTAGGACCTTCATAGCTAGGAAGGAGAAGCCAGTGCCTGGCTTTGAAGCTTCAAAGGACAAGATGACTCTCTTGTTAGGCCCCAGTGCAGCTGGTGACTTTCAGTTGAAGCCCATGCTCCTTTATCATATTGAAAGTCCTAGGTCCCTTGAGTATTATGCTAAATCTATTCTACCTGTGCTCTATAAATGGAACAACAGAGCCTGGACAAGAGCAAATTTGTTTACAGCATAGTTTACCTACTAAATATTTTAATCTCCCTGTTGAAACTTACTACTCAGAAAGAAAAATTTCTTTCAAAATATTACCGCTCACTGACAACACATCTAGTTGTCCAAGAGCTGGAGATGTACAAGGAGATTAATACTGTTTTCATGCCTGCTAACACAACATCTATTCTGCAGCCCATGGATCAAGGAGTCATTTTGGCTTTTATGTCTTTTTATTTCAGAATTACATTTTGAAAGGCTATAGCTGCCATTGATAGTGATTTCTTTGGTGGATCTGAGCAAAGTAAACAGAAAACCTTCTGGAAAGGATTCACCATTTTAGAAGCCATTAGGAACATTCATCATTTATTGGAGGAAATCAAAATATCAACTTTACAGGAGTTTGGAAGAAGTTAATTCCAACCTTCATGGATGAGTTTGAGGGCTTCAAGACTTCAGTGGAGAAAGTCACTGTAGTTGTGGTGAAAATAGGTAGAGAACTATAATTAGAAGTGGTACCCTAAGATGTGACTGAATTGTTGCAATCTCCTGATAAGACTTGAACAGATGAGGAGTTGCTTCTTACGGATGAGCAAAGAAAGTGGTTTCTTGAGATGGACTCTTCATCCTGGTGAAGATGTTGTACATTGTTGAAATGACAAAAAGTATTTAGAATATTGCAGAAATTTACTTGATTAAGCAACAGCAAGTTTGGAGAGGATTGACTCAAAATTTGAAAGAAGTTTTACTGGGGGTAAAATGCTATCCAACAGCATCACATGGTACACAGTAATCTTTCTTGAAAGGAAGAGTCAATTGATTGGCAAACTTCACTGTCATCTTATTTCAAGAAATTGCCATAGCCATCCCAGCCTTCAGCAACCACCACCCTGACCAGTCTGGAGCCATCAACATTGAGTCAAGACCCTCCGCCAGCAAAAAGGATTATGAGTAACTGAAGACTCAGATGATGATCAGCATTTTTTTTACCTACATAGTATTTTCTAATTAAAGTCTGCACATTGGTTTTTTAGGCATAATACTATTGCACACTTAATCACATACTGTTATATGGTAAACATAAATTGTGTATGCACTGGCAAACCAAAATAATTTTGTGTGACTTACTTTATTGCAAGTGAGAAGGAGAGGAGAAGAGAGAAAGTATTGGTTGGTGTGTGTGTGTGTGTGTGTGTGTGTGTGTTTGTGTGGGTGAGAGAGAGAGGCTGTTGGACTGTTTGAGCTTTTGAGAGTCCAACTGGGAGTGTAACTCTGAATTTTAACCAATGGTAGTAAAACAGGATGCAAAGGAAAAAATCCAGATTGAAGAGTAAAAGACTTAAATTCTGGCACAATAAGGATATATTGATAAAATTAAGTATCAGAGAGGACTCTGAAATGAGGAGAGGGGATTTGTCTTAGATAAGGTTTGCATCATTATTTTCTCTGATGCTGAAGAAAGGAGAAAAGGATAATAAATATGCAGAGGCATGTTAACATGGAAAGAGGCAGAGTTGAAGAAGTTGGTATTTAATGGCTAAGATTACCTTCAGACACTAGGAAGAAAGGTTAGCAATCATTTGACACATAATCAACATGTTTCATTGACTTTTTTCATAAACTGTATATGAGATGTTGCTTTCATATGGATGCTGTATGCTATATTCTACAGTTTATTCATTATAAATAGTAGAGAGAGATATGGAAAGTAGTAGAAGATATGGAAAACCCTTGAAATATATTACACACACACACACAAGATACACACACACACACACACACACACACACACACACACACAGGCCTTATGGGCATAGGTGCGTTGTCTGCTGCAGACTGCTATTGGTGAATGCAGCAATAAGTAAACCAAAGCACTAGAATTAAATTCATGCCTTGATATCGTTAGCCAGCCAACTCATGATAGTGCTCAAAATGAACATGGTCATTCTTAGTCTGTATGTTTTTCTCCTTTTTTCCTTATTCCTTCCTTGTGAATATTTACAATGTGGTAGGCACAGGGATTACAAGTTTGAACAGGATTGATACCTCTGCCCTCAAAGTGGTGAACAAAATAACAGAGGGATTAAGAAGGGACCAAATATTTCAGGCGTCTGAAGTCTTGTATCTATTTTGCCAACTGTAGAAGTTTTTATAAGAACATTATTTATTGATAAATTGTCAAGACAGAATCAGCTGTGCTTATTTTTACTGAAACTGGAAAGTTGATTATGTCCAACAAGCTTGACAATTTATGTGGATAAACATTTGGAGAGAAATCAGTCTTTTAAAATAGTGTACTCAGCTAGACTGCCTCCAGTTTTCCTTTATTTAAGTAAAGATCAATAATTATATTTCAGCTTATATCTTTTTCCTTGCTACGCTCTCTCCACTTGGTAAGGGTTCATTAATCAAAAACCTTATTTGCTTTGCATGTGTGTATGTGTGTGTGTGTGTGTCTGTGTGTGTATGTTTGTATGTTTGTGTTTGTGACAGTTAAAGGGCATTAAATTATTTGCAATGATTTATCTTCCTGAAAGGTTTTAGCACAGGGGAACTGTTCACTGTGTGAGGTGAGTTGGAAGGGATATTAGTCCCTGTAGAGGTTACACAAACTATTGCACCAAACTACAAACTAGTGGTGGGAATGTAACATAATTCCAAAGGAAAATATTTCATGTACATTACCCTGTCATGTACTGCTCTCTGTAGGGTTTAAATTTCAATAGTGGCTGGCGTGACAGGATACACAAGCATTGCCCAATATTTAATTCAGATTTTGCTTATATAACATCTAAAACTGGTCTGCTCAGAACTTTAATACTGTTGAAGGAAAGCTGCCACTGTCCCCTTATTACCTTTGAATACAAATTGTTGATTGGCTGTGTTGTCGATTCGTTTCCCACATGATATTGGAAGTCATAGTCATACCCAAGGCCTTTGCTTATTACCTCCATTTGTTTACTATTAAATCTGCTCTAGTTTTACTAGTTGGAAAAAAACCACAGTTGACGTGAAGTTACCCTCTCCCTTATTTGCCATTTTATTTATATTTCAGTCGTGAATATAGAAAACAAAGATAGGAAAAAAAAAGAACCAGTTAAAATATTTTGTACATCATATCAAAACCTTTTCTAAACTCAGCAACTGATGTTCATACCCACAGGTTGATGCCTTCTCCAAATAATCCACTGGCTTTAGTCTGTTAATATAATAGAAAACCAACATTGCTCAATTGAAAGAACACTTGAGCTGGGGACCAGAAATTTGGCTTTAGTTTCACCTCTTGCAATCATAATATGCACTGCCTTGAGTGTTCACTTAACTTTTCTGAACCTTGTAATTTTATAAAACAGGAACAATAATGTGAACATATTTCCTATAGATCATTAGAATCAAATAAGATAAAATTATGTGAAAGTGTTTTGTACATTTGTATAGTACTGTACAAATGAAAATTATGACCATGGAGGTGAATTGCCATATTATTGATTTTGTTTACTTGTTGTTTTAGATCTCAGGGGAAATATCTCTAGAGTCATATTGCCCAGCATAAGTAAGCATCTGTATTATTAGAAAGAAAAGTTCCATCATGTCTTTCTCACAAGTATAGATTTTGATTTTGTTCATCAGTGAAATGATTCTTTTAAGACACATAGTGTTGTCATGCATTGTACATATTCATGTATACTTTCATTGTTAACCAGAGGAAGTCCTAAAATTCAAATAGATTCACAGTGAACAATTCAGAAGAACAGAAGCTTTTATAAAACTTTCAGTTCTTTTCATTATTGTCTCAACCAGAGAGCTGGTACTTAATGCAAAAACGTTCTAATTGGCTCCATGCTTATTTAATAGTACTTTTAAAATACCTTTTTTTCAGCAAATTTAATTATAATTCTTTTGCCACTCCTTGAATTATTTGGTCAAGAGTATTGTATTACCCTTTGATAGTAATTAAGTTTTAATTTTCTGACATGTAAAATTTAAGTAACAGATCTTCAAAAATATATTTTCTATATATAAATTATATGAGCATTGAGAAATAAAGAATAGTTAGAAACTTCTAAAATTTTGTCTTTAAACAGTGGCAAGTCTAAAAGAACCTAAGTTCCAGGAAAGTTAACATCAGAATACTCCTCTAAAGCTGTTCATGATAGGATATGGGTTGACTTGCTGATAGTCAATCTTGGGAGACCATATAGTTTACCTCTATGAGGTTCCACTGGGCATCACATGGCCACAACAACTTATTAGGTTCCTCTGAGTTTCACCAGTTTCTAGTTTTGCTCTGTATTATTACAATACTTTGAAATGAGGTATTGGGGATGAATGAGGAATGGAAAAGTAGAGGGGATTTAAAAATGCATTAAAATTCCACTTTTAGGATATAACCCTCACATTTTTATGGTTTTACTAAAATGAATGTGTTGTTATATACAAACAAGCAAAAATCTTATGTGTTGGATTCAGTTAAAGAAATCTCATTTAAAAAGCTAAATTTAAAAATATTAGTTATACTACCTGTAGGCAATGAAGTAAAACACCACGTACTCTTATATATTACCGGTGAGAATGTAAGTTGCTGCAAACACTTTTAAAACTGTTTGCCAGTATCTAATAAATGTTAACATTCAAATACTCTATAATCAAATTTTTCTACTTTTAGAGACATACCTAACAGAAACACATACATATGTATACCAAAAGGCATGTATAAGAATATTCATATTATTAATAGTACCAAACTAGAGACCCAAATGTCTGAATGACAAAACTATTTGTCTACAGTGATAGAAGTCAGAAAGCGATTACTTTGGGGGAAGAGGGAAGGGTTAGTGATGACGAGGAGGCATCAGGGAGCTTCTGGGATCCTGGTAATATTTTACCTCTTGGTCTAGGTAATAGTTACACAGGCATGTTAATTTTGTGATAATTCACTGAACTATACATTTGTAACTTGGGAACACTTCTGAATGTATATTATGCTTCAAAAGTTTTAAAATAAAAATGATATTTATCCAAGAATCAACCAAAGCATCAATCAAATGTGAAAGTAGAATAAAGGCCTTTTGCAAAAGTCCCAAACAGCCTTTATAAAGAAAACTACTTACTGATATATCCTAGCAAATAGAGGGATAAACAAAGAGTCATGAAGATTTAGGATCCAGAAAGAGAGAATCTAGTTTGGGAGATAACAAAGGGAAATTCAATGTTATAACCATGAATAAGCCTAGGGAATGAGGGTCCTATGTAGACAAAAGGACAGAAAACTCCAGATGCTCAAGAGATTTAATGTTATCCCAGAGAAATGCAAGAATTTATGGATTCAATAAAAGCAAATCATTCAAGAAAATAAAGGTCAATAGAAAAATAACGATGAATAAAATGCAGAAAGATAAACAAAAGAAAGAAAATAAAACCAGAGAATGTTTGTTGGCTCTACCATGTACAGTATTTATACAGTTATAATAATATAATATAAATCCTGTTTATTATTATCCAAATACCAAGGTTTAAATTTGGTTTCAAAACAGATTTCAAATGTTGGTAACAACTTTGAAATGTGAAAATCAAATTGTGGATGACAGAAAGTTGGAGGCAGGAGTTGTATGAGAGTGAAAGACTGGTGGAGACATGGACACTTCCTTTTAAAAAGTGAGTGCAATGACGAAGGTGTTGGCTATGGTTGATTGGCCAAGGCTGAAATGTTGGAATGTGTTATTTAAAGTCGGAAAATATAATGAACAGGAAGACTAAAATCAGCCATCTCTATTGGGAGGGGAATGGGGAAGTGGGCTATAAGCGAGTTAAATCCTCATCTATCCTATCAGGAATCAAATCATAATGTCAGACAAAATCAAGAAATAATAGAGTGAGAAAATCATTAAAAGATACAACAGTCTCACTGAGAACTTAAAAAAGCAATTAAGATTAAAAGTTGTTACTTCTGGAAAGTAGGACTGGGGAGGAGGTGCAGGTATCAGATAGGGGACTATTTATTTTCCTCATAAGCCCTTCTGTACTATATTTGATTTTTTGAAATGAAGGGCAGATATTACTCAGAAAAACTCAATTAGTAAGTTTTAATGGTTTGTTGATTCCAATGTTTCCATTTATGAAAATTTTTAAATAATTTGCATCTATATAAAAGTATGTTTTTGATTATTGGTGTAACTAATTACCACAAATTTCTTGGTTGAAAAAACCACAACTTTATTATCTTGCAGTTTTGTGTGTCAGAAGCCCTTTAACAAAAGTCTCAGTGGGTTCAAATCAAGTTGGTGCTCCTTTCTGGAGGCTCTAGGGGAGAACCCATTTCTCTGCCTTTTTCAGCTTTGTGAGGCTTCCCACATTCCTTGCTTCATGACTCCCTTAATCAGTCTTCAAAACCATCAGTGTCCAATCTCTCTAACCCTTCTTCCATCATCACATCTTTCTATCTTACTGATCACAGACAGAAAAATTCTCTGATTCCAGGAACTTGTGTGATTAGACCTGGCCTACCCAGATAATCCAGGATAATCTCTCTATCTCAAGATCAGTAATCTTAATAACATCTACAAAATACTTCTTGCCATGTAAATTAACATATTCACAATTTCTGAGAATTATAGCCTGAACATCTTTGAGGCCAGTTTTTTTTTTTCCCACAAAAAAGTTAAAACTCAACTGTACCAAAAGTTATCTACAACCCTACCATACTGGTATATCCAGAAACAAAATATGTAAACTCCTAATTATAACACTAAAATCATGAAAATAAAGCCAAACTTGTGATGAAAACTCTTCCCATGCTCCCCCACCCCCGAGAAAAGGGAGGTTTGTATGTGTTTCTCAGGAGTCTTTGGTTTGTGCACACTGAGCATATTTTAGCTGGGTGGCTCCTGAGGGAATGGGATGAACACACACATTTGGTGTAAGGAAGCAAAAAGTCGTGAGATCTTATGGAGAGACTAAGAGAGGAGTAGGGTTTGTGGAAGGGTTTGTACCTGTGGAATTAACTTGACCCCGCTAGAATGCAGCACCTCCGATGCTATGGGGTACCTTGGGCTCTGTACACATTATGCACCATATACGGTACCTTGGAAAGCACTGGAAATGATCCTGATGGACCTCCAAAGGACTCTGAGTTTGAACCACTGTGAGTATCCCCAATCCCCAACAAAAGTGAGTGACCAATCAGTCATAGGGCTAGCACCCAGCAGCAGCTACAGACTACAAAGGCTGGACAGTTATGTCCTTGGGCAAAGAGTGCCCTGTTGTACTTCACTGTGTGCACTTAGGACTCTTAGATGATCTCATAGAGTGGGAAAGAGAGACACCACAATATTCCAGCCCAATTTCTCACCAGTTAGGTGGAGAGGGAACAAGAAACAGATTAAATATGATATGAAAAAATAAAGGAAGGTGGCCGGGTGTGGTGGCTCACGCCTGTAATCCCAGCACTTTGGGAGGCCGAGGCGGGCGGATCGTGAGGTCAGGAGATCGAGACCATCCTGGCTAACATGCTGAAACCCCGTCTCTACTAAAAATACAAAAAAATTAGCCGGGCATGGTGGCGGGCGCCTGTAGTCCCAGCTACTTGGGAGGCTGAAGCAGGAGAATGGTGTGAACCCGGGAGGCGGAGCTTGCAGTGACTAGCCGAGATCGAGCCACTGCACTCCAGCTTGGGTGACAGAGTGAGACTCCATTTCAAAAAAAAAAAAAAAAAAAAAGAAAAAAATAAAGGAATGTGATAATTTGTACACCTTCCTATCATGCACTAATATTTATATCACATCCATCAGGTTTTTGTTGGTTCAACATAAGTAGGTGCTACTCGCTTCTAATTCTTGGGCAAAACAAATATTTTTATACCTCTGTACCTTTGTTTATGCTGTTCTTCCTTCCCAGAATGTCCCTTCTCTCTCCCAGTCAGTCTTCAAATCCCAGCTCAGTAAAGACTTCCCGACCTAACTGGACTTCTTATTACGCTTTACTCTGAGTTCCTGTAGCATTCCTAACTATGACTCTAGACTCTGTTACAGCACTTGCCACATTGCACGAGACATTGTTCCCTGTCTTAGTTTCCTGATTGCTAGTGATAAATTAAGGTCTCAAAGGGGACAGGTACGTAAATATTTAACTTAGTTACTTTGAATCCTTATGTAAAACCAGGACCATCAAATGTGTTCCCCCAAAAGCAGATTATCCCTTTATATTGATATCATATTCAGGTCATGGGACCCTTCCAAACCTCTGGGTATAGTACTTTATACTGAATTATTGACTGTCTTCCTCCACAAGTTTGGCTAGCACAGTGCCAAGTAGGAGCCCTTGTGGGAGAAACTGCCTTTCTTACTGGATAAAATCCAGAGCTTTCACATTGTGGAGGCCTCAAAAAGCGTATGGATCTGGAATCTATAAGCAGTTCAGGAAACAAAACAAACATAAATGGCTGCACCAGTCTTGTGGACATCTATAGAAATGCTTCCTTCACCTTGTTAGAGCATAGAAACCCCAAATAAATGAGTGGAGGACAGGGAGGTGGGCTTTGGATGTAGTTTTACATTACTTCTCCAGAATGTACTAGATATGCAATGTTGGACAATTTATTTCATCTATGATTCTCAAACTTCTCTGTAAAATGAGAATTGAAAATGGTATCTCCAAGGCTATTGTGATGTTTAATGAGATAGCATCTGAGTTTCCTGTTCTATTGCTTTGCTCATGACAACATGTAAAAATGCGATTTGACCTATCCTGGCTAAACCATGACTCATATCTAACACAAAGAGCACACATGTCCCTTTGTGCATGAAGGAAACTAATATTTTATTGAGAAGCTATTACATCTTAGGTACTGTGTGATTTATGGATGGAATACAAAATAAACAAGATTCATCACCTTTTTTTTTTTCTCAAGATGCTTGAATCTTAGTTGAAAATACAGGGTATAGATAAGGCAAATAGTCCAATATTTAAACATCAATGTGGGACACACTATGAAACAGCCACATGTGATCTAGTGAGGCATGCATTCTGTAGACTCCCTGCTGTTGTCAGTAGCATTACTTAATAATGTTGTTGGGACACAGGGGAGAAGAAGATGGTCTCAAAATCGACTTTTTGATGATAAATAAAGACAATTCTTATTTAATGTGTTTGGATGACTAAATCTTCCAAACGGTTATCTAAGCCAAAAAAATAGCTTTTATTTTAAACTACTGATCCTTGAACAATAACAGCTTGATTAATCCTAAATGTTGAATCAATGAGGTGCTAAAATGATGATCTGGGCCACTGATGGTTAAATAAAATCCTTTTCACTTCAGCCCTTGCTGAAGTTCCTTAAAAATTTTTCACATTCATTTTCCTGCCATAAGCAATAGAATGTTGTTAAAAATAATGTACTCTGATGATAAGTTATGGAACATCATGGAATTATAAAAAGGGTGAATATTGAGATGGACAATCAATGACCCTAAAACATTAAAAAAATTTTTTTGGGGGGGATTCCTAACCTCTCACATAAGATTTCTGGTTTTTGTCTTATCATGTCGGGGATATTTTTGTGATGAGTCTTTCTATAAAATTAGAGTAAGCAAAATATTCCAATGCACTGAAAGCCATGGTTACCTGAGTTCCTGTAAACCAGGATTTTTCTCCATCTGTTAGGTAAGATATTGATAGAAAAGTCTTCTGCTATATTTGATGCCAAATTGCTAGCTTGGATTTAGAGATGAAGGTTTTTAAAAATGCAATGTACCAGCTACAGGTTTTAGTGCCAACTGCAGAGATCAATATCATTTATACACCACAGTGGGAGCATTTATTAAGCAATCACTCTGTCTTTGATTCCCAGGGAGAAAATCAAACTTCACACTTTGTGTTTATGTGGCAGTTGTCTTCACAGATCACAGTGAGCCCTTGTGAAGTCCAAGTGAGCTGTGTTCTACGTAACGTGTCCTGTGCTTGTAACTTGAAAGTGTGAGGCTGGTTTCTTCCCATTCCCCTAAGCCCCTTCTTCTAGAATTCACTAATATTAGACTGATTCATTTTGGAGCTAAGAAGCCTTATTGGAAAGTAATTCAAAAAAGGGTTGACACCTGGAATACTGACCTACAATGGCATGACTGGCTGACTGAATGGCACCTGCAGGAAGCCAGATTGCTGTGGTGGACTGTGGGACCAGTGGGAAACTATCAACCCTGAGTGAAGATAAGCTAAACTCAGCCACAGGGCCTGAGGGTTGGAGAAATACAGTGGTGCTAGGTAAAATATGGTGACTGTAACTGAATCATGTGGAAACTTTGGATGAAAGTTGTATATGTTGAATAGAAATATATATTTTATAAGAAGATAAATATTAACATGCATGTGTTACTAGTCTTATACCCCTTATCATTTCCCAAGATTGATATACAGTCTTTGCTTATTCAACTTCTTTTCCTCCTCTGTATTCTAAAAAGATTTCTCCTTTCACCAAAGTTGTTCCTGAGATTTGTGATTTATAATCTTTTGAGTAGTTAGAAATGCATGGTTGGCTAGTATATCAGGGAAAGTGATATGTTGAGTTGAGGATTGTGTTGAAGATGGGGAACTTTAGATGAGAACCGGGACTGGATGATTTAGGGATAAGGGAAAGTGATGTTGGGGCCAGGAAATGATCCAGATTTTGTGGGGCTGGAAACTTATACAATAATTGAGATCTCCTCTGAGAGACAGAATGCAAAATTACAAAAAATTAGGTGTGAAATTGAGTATTTATTTAGCAAAAGAAAATAAATCACACTAAGTCCCAATGTTAAAGGGCAGATAAATATCACAAAAGTCACTGAATGCATAATACATTAATTAATTATTATTGCACACTTTTGTTATGGACTGAATGCTTGTATCCCCTCTAAATTTATGTGTCTAAGCCCTAATCCCCCAATGTAATAGTTTTTGGAGATGGGGCCTTTGGGAGGTAATTAGGGTTAGATGAGCTCAAGAAGGTGTAACTTCATGATGGGATTCGTGTCTTTATAACAGACATGAGAGAATAATCTCTCTCCTGCACACATGTAAAGAAGATAGCCTGTGAACACATGGTAAGATGGTGGTAGTCTGCAAGCCAAAAGAAGAAGCCTCAGAATGAAAATTATCTTGTTATCACCTTGATTTTGAACTTTCCAGCCTTCAGAACTGCGAGAAATAAATTTCTGTTGTTGAAGCCACTCAATCTATGATATTTTGCTATGGTAGTTCAAGAAGACTGGAATATCTTTATACATATATTTTCACATATATATTATGGATATCATATTTTTCATACATATTTTTGGTTGTATAGCTTGAGCACTTCTCTATACAAAAACGTGTTCTTCTAAATATTTTCAGTCTTTATATAATTGGTTGAAGTGTGTATTATTAAAATTGTGATGTGACAATATATCAATTATCTCACAGATATAGTAATCATTTATAGAGTTGTGCCTTAAAACCAAAGAAATTCTGATAAATTCTATTTCCCATCAAAAGACATGGTTGTTTTAAAATCGCAAATGCTGCATTATTATTTTCCTTAAGAGAATTTCTCTGTCTCCTCTACAATTTTACTTTTTGATAATTTGAAGTATTTTCCACATACTAGCTTCTGGTTCTCCAATTTCGAACCTGGTTTCTTCCTGACTACAAATAGTTCTGGTGCCTGGTGCTGTAGGACAGATTCACTTTGCAAGCACCACCTCTGCTTCTGTGCCTTTGTGTTTACGATAGTGGGTGGGTTGGCATGGCGGGCAGGAGGAGTATTCCTGAAAACCATTCCAACCTGGAAAAGCTAGAGATGACTATAAACCACATAAATATATTCTATTCAAACTACATGTATCTTAGATTTAACCATGCCTTAGATTTCCAAGATGCCCATAGTCCACTGTCACCCAACACAGGAGCAAGTGTGACAGAGGGGAAGTCAGAGTGGGAAAAAACAACAATCTTGACTACAGTATTTTCACTTAAAATATTTTTCCAGATTTTACAAAAACATGATCACGTGAATACATTGCTAGGGTCTTCCTTTTCCCTGTTGGTCTTCTGACTCATTGTCTTATCCATTTTTGAAAGTGGAATATTAAACTCTTTTTGTTGAATTTTCTATTTGTCTCTTGAATTCTCTCAGTTTTTGCTTGATGTATTTTGGGTCTCTGCTGTTAGGCGCATATATGAGGTTATGTTTTCCTGATGGTATTGTACTTTTATCATTATATAATTTTTCTCTTTATCTCTAATAAATTTTTTGTTTTAAAATCTATTCTGTCTGATTTACTACAGCCACTTCTGCTCAGATACTTTCGAGGGAAATTGACAATTGTTGGTTTGATATTGTATAAAAGGCAATATCATTTTTATCTCTATATCAAAAACTCACTATGATGGGAGAAAGGAGAAAGTTTTCATTAGAGAAATAAATATTGTATCATTTGGAATAAGTAACCTTTATTATAGCTCGATTCTTATTTGAATTTTTGTCAGTGAGGGTAGGGTATTTTGATAGCTGTGTGAGGTGTCAGTTGCACAGATTGAATATAAAAAATACACTTCAAAGTTGTACTTTGGAATTCTTCTAGTTTGGGGTGAGGGAGGAAACAATATGGGCTTGGGTTTTTCTTTTTCTGGAGTTCAACTCCAGTGAAATCATGAGAGCTTGCTTGTTGATGAGGATAATTTGTCTAAAGTTCCACACCATCCAGCAAGATACCCAAGCTTGACATCTTGGAATGATCCACAACTCCTCCTGGTTTCCCATGTCCCACACCAGTACAGATGTGTGTTCAGCTCTGAAGTCTTGCCTGATTTATCACTGTTTCCCACCTCTACCTTCCCTTCCTACAGAAACTATTAGACTCTGTATCCCCCAAACAGTTTTTATACCTCTGTTATGGCACTTCTCACATTGTATTTTAATTATCTTTTTTAATATCTAGATCTCTCAAGTACATTAGATAGTGAGCTTTTTGAGAGGAAAAACTATATATTATTTAATCTTTGTATCTTTTATGTTCATGCTACATGCTTAATAGATGCTTAAACCTTTAAAAAATTTGAACATGACCATCCAATATATTTAGTTAGTTAATGCTATAGTTTATTTGGAGAGTAAAAAAAGAAGAAAAAAAGGGTACTTGTCACTACTTGTGTTTGTTATTATGAATGTCACCCTAGAACTTAGGAGAAATAGGGTTATATAATTATATATTTAAATATTTATATATTTACTCATTGAGATAATCTATACTCATTAAAATAGTAATTGGCATATGTTCTTTTTTGGCTTTTATGTTCTGCTTGGTGAAATTATAGATATTTGACATATAGCCAGATTTTATTTTAAATGGCTGTACACCAACCAAATATAGTTTACAAAACAAGGACATTCATGGAAACAGCAGTGTAAGAGCCCATTAGTAACTACAGGCTCCTAACAGATTGTTTGGTTGAAAATAGCTTACACTTAGTCTAGTAGAAGAAAGAATTTCTTCAAACTAGGATTTTCCTCTATCTCCATAGTTATTATGTTTGCCAGGTATCCAGGAATGTTGATAGGTCAAAATAATTGATTAAAAAAACAGCTTGGATTATTTCTACCAAATAGTTGAGATTATTTTCAGGCCCAAGATAGAGAACCATAGAATCTTGAATTTAAAGGGATCTTTCAATCAACATAGCCTGACTTCCATATTTTACAGATAAAGAAAATGAAGTCATAAGAATAGAAAGTGATTTTTTCAAAGGGCGAGAACCCACATTTTAAAAGTTCTAGCCTAGTAGTCTTTCCCCCACATCATTCAGCTTCTTACAAAGTATTTAACAAATACATTCAATACAATCTTTATCAAAATCCCAGATCTCTGTTGTGTAGTCAGTGACAACCTGAACTTAAAATGATCTAAGGGACCTAGAATAACCAAAACAGTCTTGAAAAAGAATACAGTTGGAGGACTCACACTTCCTGGTCTCAAGTCTTAGCATAAAGCTATAGTAATTAAGACACTGTGGTACTGGCATAAGGATAAATATAAATATCAACAGAATAGCATTATAAATCCAGGAATCAGCTCTTACTTTTATTCAATTGATTCAACAACAGTACCAAGACCATTCAATGAATTGAGAAATAATAGTCTTTCTAACAATTTGTGCTGGGACAACTGGATATTCACACAAAAAAGCATAAATTTGGACTCCTTACCTCACATCTTATCCAAAATGAACTCAAAGTGAATAATAGATCTAAATAGAAGAGCTAAATCTGTAAAATCTTAGAAGAAAACATAAATACAGGTATAAACCTTTGTGACCTTGGTTTAGACAATAGCTTCTCAGGTAGGACACAAAAAACACCAAAAACAAAAGAAAAACTTAGATAAATGGACATTATCACAAAGAAAACCTTTGTACTTCAAAGTTTACCATCAGAAAAGTGAAATGACAATGTTGCAGGACTTTTCCTTAGTTCAACTAAAGATGGCCTCCTTGTCTGTCCCACTGCCACGAAAAATTAGGCTCACAGACAGTTTGAAGGGTGACTGAAGCAGGGTTTTATTTGGTGAAAAGGGAAAAAAGTGGGGAAAACAGGGACTCTCACAAGGCCATAGTCCCTGCTAGAGCACTTCCCACCTGGCAGTTTGAATCCTAGTTTCCACACAGGAAGAGGAGGGGACAGACTCCTTCCTGCTGCAAAGGGCGTGAACTTCCCGAGGCTCCATCTCAGTGGGCAGGCTGGTTGGAGTTTCTCCAGGGACCCCCCTCTCTCCGGGGGTGTCTCATTCCCCCCTCTAAACAAGTACATCTGATTGCTGTTAGATTAAGGATAAGGACAAAGACCCATCTTAACTGCTTCCTGCTGTCAGGGGGCACTGTTTTGGGGAAATGACAGTCAGAGCTCCCTCAGAGGTCTATCTAAGCATTCCCTGCAGAAGGGGACATTGTCAGACGCTCCAGTTGCATGACTGTTTGGAGTTTGATGGCCTGAAGGCAAGAACAGACAAACCAGGTTATTAGAAAACATGTATCAAAATGAAACAAGGGGAGGGGTAAGGACAGCTCAAAAATTCTGAGGCCTTTTGCCAGTTTGCACAGGGAGGCCAAAAAGCTCGACTGGTAGACAAAAGGTTACCCTTTTGCCAGCATGTTGGGCTTCTGGTTTCCCTTCCTTGGAGCCCAATCCTAAGCCAGCCAGTTTAAGGTTTGGGAAATTAACTCTTTCCAGTTTGAAGTATGCATCTGAGGGGAGTGTCTCATAGTATGGAGACAAAATTACCTATTAGTGAAGACAGGACAGAGGAGAAGAAAGGAAAAAAGGCGCCTTTTAAAGGAGTCCAAGGGGTTTAGGATGCATTTGAAAGGGATACAGACTGAAGATGAATGGCTACCCATCTACAGAGAGGGGAGCAGGCATCCCTGATTCCCTTCCCTTCCTAGCAGATACCTGGGGTAAGTAAGGGAGAGAGGGAAGAGCATTCTCTTTCCCTCTTCCCTCCTTGCATACCTGAGTTCCAGTGACCTTGGCAGGCACCACCATTAGTGTCAAAGCGACTTGCACCCATGAAGCAGGGGGATCTAGGGAGTGAGAATCATCTGCTCTTACCCACATATGCTGTATCTCCCATGCTATCAGTAGGCTTGACTTCCCAAGACCTCATTTATGCCATGGATACTAACGTGGCCTTTATCCGTGAAACAGGAAGCTTGGGCTTGGCTTAATCTGGAGGAATCAGCCACGCTCACCCGCGCTGTGCCTTTTAACCACTGTTGTCATTTGCCTCTGGATCCCTCAGATCCAGTTTCTTTCTTAGGGCTTTGACCCTAAGCTTGGAATTGAGTCTGGGACAAAAATGTGTCTCTGGGGGGTTGCATGGACTGTTTATCCTAAGCCCAATGCTAAGGTGAAGCTGTGGAACTGAGTTTTCCTCCAACAAGGTTGAGGAAAGGATGTCTTGTGACACACCCAGATAACTGGTAGCTATATAGTTTTGCTTACTAGGATTTGGGAGCATGGTGCTTGGCTTTGGTAAGCTCCCTTGATCTTACTTTACCAAAAGAAAAACCTTCAAATGATGGGCATCCTATTTATTCCCATCACCTGGCAGAATTTGCAGGATAATTGCTCAGAACTAGAACATTGATCCAGATTTCTACAACAACACATAGAGTAGGAAAATATATTTGCACATTATATATCTGACATAGGATTTGCATCCAGAAAAATATATATATATAATCTTACAACTTAACAATTAAAAGGTGAATCACCCAGTTAAAAACAGGCAAAGGATTTGAATCAACATTTCTGAAAAAATATATATGAATAGCTAATAAGCACATGAAAAGATATTCAATACTATCAGTCATTAGGGAAATACAAATGAAAACTCTATGCCTCAGAAATTCTACTCATAGATGAGTACTTAAGAAAAATGAAAAATCTATGTCTACCCAAAAATTATACTAAAATATTCATTGTAGCATCATTCATGATAACAAAAAGGTAGAAACAACCCAAATGTCCATCAACTGATAAATGAATGAAGAGAATGTAATCATATAATGTAATATTAATTATTTGGCAATGAAAAGGAATAACATGCTGAATGATACCACAACACAGATGAGCCTTGAAAAAATTATGCCAAATGGAAGAAACCAGTCACAAAAGACATTCTAGATGTTTACATAAAATATCTAGAATAGGCAAAGTCCTATAGACAACATCTAGTTTATTGGTTACCAGTGGCATAGTAAAGGGGGAAAGCAAAGGGGTGGAGTTTTGCTTGGAGTGATGAAAATGCCCTAACGTTAGATAATGTTGACCGTTGTATGACTAAAAATGTGCCAAAATCCACTGAATTTGACATTTTAAAAAGGCTGAGTTTTATGGTAGGTAAATTATCTCAATAAAGATTTTATATATATATATATATATATATAAAACTTCTATGTGTCGAGAACTATTAGGAACTCCATTTTGTGAATCAGAAAATTTAGGCACTGGCCTAATTTTGGCATTTACCTAAAAATCATATTGATAATGAACAGCGACTCCAGGATTTGAGTCCAGCTGATCCTTTATCCTACTCCAGGCCTTCATCTTAAACTCAGCTTAACTGTTGATTTATGGGTTATTGGGGGCTATATTATTGCTATGATGGAATCATGTGGTGGTGTACCCCTAAGATATATATAGTAAGTGAGGAGGCAGTATAATAAACAACCTGGAATCAGTGGCTGAATATCCTTGCTTATATAGAATCAACAGTGGCTTTCCATGAAACTAGGTTAAAAAAGCATAAATCTTTCTTCTTATATAATTATCCCATTTGGAAAATAAAATGTACAAATGAAACTCTGTGGCTTGCTAATGTGTCAAAGCAGAAAGTGCCTTCTGCATAGAAAACCATGTCAAAAAACCCCCAAGCCTCACTCTCATTATGGACCAAATGAGATTTTTCCAAGGTAGAGGTGATAATGTATTCTCAGGTTTCTGAATATCAAACATATGAGGGTACTCAGGGACCTCCCAAACATATATTTCAAAGATAAAAATCTTTTCATCTTCAAAGAATCAACTTACTATTCAACAAAGATGATTACAAAATAAGACAAACGGAATTATTCTGCCTCACAGTTGCATATAAAAATACATGTATATATACCAAAGTAGTTGAGAAAGATTAGAAGTTTGTGTAACTGAAAGAAAATACATTACAAAAGTTACAAGTGAGTCTTTGGAGACGGTGTCTGCTACTGTTTCTCATTAACAAGAGGAATGAGGAAGGGGGTGGGAATCAAAGGGATGTGTCTACAAAAGAGAGAGCAATGTTTAAAAGCAAAGATTCTAGAATTCAGAGTTCAATCTTCTAGATTCTGAATCTGTCCCTTACTCTCTGTGTGCCTTGGTTTCCTAATGGATAAAATCAAGATAATGACAGTGCCTATATCAAGTGGCTGTAGGAAGGATAAAAACGACAGAAGGAAAGGGTTTCCTGTTAATAGTTGGTACATTGTACGTTATTGATATGTATTAGCTATTATCCTTATAAATATTCATAAATAATACACTAGAACTGTGTTTTTCAATAAAGTATCCCATAGTCATGTGTGGCTATTTAAAGTTAAATGTAGATTGATAAAAACAAAATGAAATTATAAACTCAGTTCCTTAGCTGCACTAGCCATGTTGCAAGTGCTCAGTAGTCACATATGGCTAGTGGCCACCATATTGCAGAAGAATTATATCCATCATCACAGATATCAAAGTCTCAGTGACAAATAGCAAGCTCTGTAGCCTCTCTAATTTGATTGAAGGTGAAAAAGAGATCTTTCTCCTTCTTCCACCACTGGGTCTGGAAATGCACAAGGCAGTGACAACTCTGTCCCAAGAAATCCTCTCTCTCAAAGCCATTCCCCCTCAACTCTTAAATGCTCTCCAAGAGAATGCTGGGCTTCTGCCAGCTGAATTTGTTTTACAATTACCTAGCCAGTACTCTTAGTTGGTCCTGTACCAGACTTAGAATATAAGACCACTTAGCAACTATTACATTATTGCCAAGATTTGGAGCCTCTGCCAGAATTTTCATTTTATCAGCTGTCCCCACTGCATCAATGTGTGTCCTTCTTCTAGTCTCCCTTAAACTTCTAACTTCTGAGTTCTGGATTTATGTGATCTAAAAAACCGAGTAACCAAACTTATTATAATATATAAGGCTCTAGAAAGGGCTGTTAGTCCTTTGCAAGAATGTCAATGCATAAACACTTGAAGACTTTTTTAAAAAAATAAATTTCTTCTTGGCCCCTGCCTGGAGACCTAAGACTGCCACAATTCCTAGCCTGTGGAAAAGGCTTTATTTGCAATATCAGAGATCAATGAAGATGTATGAAGTGATTCTTTGAAAAAGAGTATAAGAAATAGAAGAATAATAGAAGTGAGATTAAAAAATACCTCCACCTAGCAAATCTGCGAAGTATGCAAATTTAGACAAATGGCCAGTTCCATTCAGTCATGGGCAAATTATGCCAAATCATTCATAAGTTGGCAAAAATCCATCCTTCAACTATAAACCACAAAGAATTCACTTTACATAACCCAGTTCAGTATGCTTAATCATGTATTCATTATAATGTATAACCAAATACATTTTAGGCTGTCTATGCACATATGCCAGCTTGAGGAAAAGAGATGAAATCATCTAAATGAACATTTCTTGTTTGAATGTAAATGATGTATTTCTTGCAAATCTGATTTATTGAGAGGTGTGCATGAGAAATCAACTAAGTTAGGCTACATAGGATGGAACTCTGCTATCTTAGTAGACTTATTAGGAAGATCCTAATCCTTCTCATGGTAGACCTGCTGCACTACCGTTTTGATGTTAATGCTCTAATACTTTCTGTGTGTAGAGACATCTATAAGGATCCTGCTTCTGGGAAGTGAGACACAACTACTCTCTAGTCCCTGAAGCCTCTCTGGAGTTTTTCCAAGACTCAGGCTGAAGATTGCAGGGGGTAACAACACTACCCTGCTATTAGAGCTATCACTTCTCCTCCCTGGTTTTTCTCCTTTCTCAGTCATTCAATTCATCTTAGTTTGGATGGGAAAACTTGCTTTTATGTCATTATGAAATTATCCTGAAACTATGTTTATGAAATAAAGTTTATATATCTTCTGGGTCTTAGTTCTTAATAGCTAAAGGCAAGCTTTTAGAATGCAACAAACCCTTTCTCTTGCAAAAAGCTAGGGTCTCACAAATCAAAAGCACCTTTCTTTTAAGAGTCCTTTTATTTCTAAGTTTCAGAATTCAATTTTGAACCTTGAAGTCAATAATTGCTGTTTTGCCATCCCTCTAAAGCAATGGAAGTCATTGAATAATAAATGGGAAAAGAGTCTCTGGGCAACTAGAATACGATACAGCATTTCAATCTTAGGACATAGCTAACAATCAAAATGCCACACTGGTGATACAGATAACACAGGCTGTAGACATTTAGAAGATGAAGAGGTTTGCAGGGGATGAAAGGGTCAGAGGAAACTTCATGGTACTGGAAAAACTGAGCTAGGCCAGGGTGGACGGTTTGGGTTTTGGTAGGAAAAAAAGAAGAAGGGGTCGTATCTAGCACAGGCAGGAATGCACAAAGGAAAAAGATCCATTCAGTATGCCAGAGAGGAGCATTCATATGGGAAAGTCCCAGAGATGTGTAGTAGCTAAATGCTTTGAATGGCAGCCTGAAAAGTTAGGGCCACCTTTTCAGTTGCAGACAGGTGCTCTGTGACTTGCTGTGAACTGTTAGACACCTGAGTGAGGGATGTGGTTGCAACTTATCCTCCTGAGCCCAAACCTCGTCTGAGATCTCTAAGCTGCAGAATAGCACGTTTGTAGAGCACCTTTGTGTCACCAAACCTTTGCCCGTATATCACATATAATTCTCAAGTCAACCCTGTTGGTATGGTTTGGCTGTGTCCCCACCCAAATCTCATCTGGAATTGTAGCTCCCATAATTACCACATGTCATGGGAGGAACCTGGTGGGAGGTAATTGAATCATGGGGGCGAGTTTTCCCATTCTGTTCTTGTGATAGTGAATAAGTCTTATGAGATCTGATTATTTTATAAAGGGCAGTTCCCCTGCACATGCTCTCTTGCCTGCCACCATGTAAGAAGTGCCTTTGTTTTTCCTTTGCCTTCTGCCATGATTATGAGGCCCACCCAGCCATGTGGAACTGTGAGTCCATGAAACCTCTCTTTCTTTATAAATTACCCAGTCTTGGGTATTTCTTCATAGCAGTATGAAAATGGGCTAATACACCTGTGAAGGATGTAGTCTCCCACCTCCACCTTACAGAAGGAATGGACTTAGCATATCTTGAAATTTTTTCATAAGTAGTTCACCTTTTGTGTTTACTACTTAGTAATTGGCTCAATTTGAGGATGGATAGGGAATGTATGGATGAGTGTTTGGTTGAGTGTGTGGTGTGTGCATGTGTACATTTGTGTGGTATTTATGTGATATGTGGTATGTGGCAGGTTTGCGGTATATATATATGTCCTATATATACACAGATCACACACATACACACACACACACACGTATATATATATGATACATGTCTGTGGTGTGGTCCGTTCCTTGTATGAGTGATGTGTGATGTGTGATGTGTGTGTGGTATGGTCTGTTCCTTGTATGAGTGATGTGTGATGTGTGTGTGTGTGTAAGCTTGTGCTGCAGTATTTAAGAGTAACAGCTCTGGAGGCAAATTGTGGGAACTGATGACTGTCTTCACTCATGGGCAAATAACTTCTGTGTGCCTTAGTTTCCTTTTCTCTAAAAATAGGGTAATAATAGTGCCTACCCCAAAGATATGTTATAAATTACTATACATAAGGCATTTGGAACTATGCCTAGTACATAGGTGACGCTCAGTAAATATTAGCTGTTTGGTTACATCACTTGTACTTGGGTTTTTGGTGACGTTTAAAGGTCTGTCTGCCCTTTCTGTTAGTTGACAGCATCTTTGAAGCAGCAGACAGTGACAGTTTATTATAGAACTGTCAGATCCAGGCTAACAGAGAAGATTTTTCTTCATGTCCTTGCTGATCTCCAGCATTACTCTGTTCATCCTTGAATTCACTGCAGATTCTGACAACACACAAAATCCAGAGCAGCTTGGTTTTTCAGATACCTGATTGGGCAGATGAAGAAGAGTCAGCACTCCAGTTTGCACCACTAGTAATAAAAGAAAACAAATATTTCACAAGGACAGTTAGGTGGATGGCTATCAAATATTAATCACAACCACCACTGCAACTCATTAATAGTAGTAGGCGTTTGGGTAAGAGACAGTATGTTAGCTGCTTATGTAATCTTTTATTTGGAAAAGAGAAATGCCTGTGAAAACACTCTGGGTTTCCACTTAGAATGAGTGGGGACACATCTGGCTGATGATTGAAAGACTGACATTTCAGTAGGCAGCAAGGAGCCAGAGGTTGAGGAAAACTCATTTCCTCTTATTGCAACCTGATCCAGAGAGGTTTTTAGGGCATGGACAATGACAGCTCACCTGGAAGACATTGTATACTTGTCAGGATTATTTTGTCCAGATTATCAACTACAGAGTAGAAAAATTAGTCATAATTTAATAATAAAAAAGACCTTCCAATTTCAGTAGCTGGACAAATGCACGAAGAAGCATATATAAAATATATTTATCTCCTGACTATCAAACATAGTCATCTGTCTTCTGTCTTTGTCTCTTTATTTTGTTACTGTCTTCCCCTCCAGATGGTAAGGTTGATGAGGAGAGAAATTTTGCCTCTCTTTCTCATGGCTGTATTTTCTCATCCTGAAATAATTCCAGACACATTGCAGGTAGTCTATACTTAGCTGTTGAGTAATTAAATGAATCCGTGAAAAAAAAAAGAAAACCACTTAAATGTCCAGAGAGAAAATTTGGTAAAATATAACACAGCACTTCCATACACAGGAAAAAAATGAAGGCATTAAAAGTGATAATGCACTTTTAAACCCCTATGTTGATATGGAAAGACACAATTATATATTTAGTGAAAAAATCATCTTGCAAAGCAGTTTATAGTTATATATATGTATCTCTATACATTTGCTTATAAAAATCTGTAGACTATCAGTAGTGATCTTTGGGTGGGGAGGCAATGGGAGACTTATTTCTTACTTATACCTTTCTGTATTGTCTGAAAAATTTAAATGTAAGCATGGATTTCTTTAAAATTCAGAAAAGTAATTTTTTAAAAATAGATCTTTTTTTGAGCTTACAAACCCTTCCTTGAAAGCCTTTCTGCTCTAATTTGCTGCAGCTGCTGAGGGCAACAGAAACTTGGCACTTGAGATTTTTGAGAAGTATCCAGATAATTTCTTCTGCTTAATTAGCATGGGGTTGAACTTGTTGGAATTTCAGAAGAAAAAAACAAAAAAACACCAGCTCCTGGCATGAAGTAGCCCCTCAATACATGCTTGTTAAGTGAAATGAATAAAGTTGGAGACTTACACATGGCTTGTTCTTTATTGAAGTAGTTCCCGTTGGCTCCAGGTTGAAAGACTTGATCAGTGGCATTCTGGAGAACCATGACAGTTACCCCAAGTTCAAGGTCTTGCCTATATCCCTCAAATGTATTTTTTTCAAAATCTCACCCTTGTAGATTAGGTAGGAATGAATGAATTTGGCCTGGTTAGTAATATTAATTTTTTTAATGTGGGAATCAGCTTATGTATTTTATAATAGAATTAGACTGAGTTCCAGATCACACAGTTTTTGAGTGTTGAACTGGTACTAAAACCATTGCTACCATCCTTGCCTTCTGAGATTTTACAAAGTCTGAGAGTTTCAAAATTTAATAAGGACCACAGTCATTTCAGGCCTAGGTCAGTGGGAGACATAGCCTATCAATGAAGTATTAAAATAACCACTGAAGTTACGTTGTCTCTTACTATATACCAGTCACTGGGCTAAATTTATTACTTGCATTTTCTCACTTAATCCTCCTGGCCACCCTCTAGGGTGGATGCCATTATTATTCCTGTTTTAGAGATGTTGTAGCTATCATTAAGGGGACATTAATACCCTGCTTGAGGTCATACATGTGGACTTAATATGACACATCTGGGACACGCAGCCAGCTCTTACCCACTATAGAGTCTGTCCTCTTAAACCATTCTATACTGTCTTTCTGCCTGTTACATTTTTTAATTCATCTGTAAGGGAACAACGTACTTTATGCACATTCCTGATCTCTTCTGGTTCCCAAATGGTCCCATTTGAGATCATTCCAGAAAGATGTGGAGACCTTGCCAACAGCAGGGCTATTTCACAATAAGAGTATATTAAACCTGCTTTGCTTTGTTGTCAATGTTGCTTTGAGTCTCGAATTTAGGCTGTTCAAGTTAAAACTCATAGATCTTTTTAGATAATATCTGGAAATATAGAGCTACATTTAAGGATTGTGTGACATGCTGGTTTAATTAGCCAATAGAGAAGCAAAAACTATATTCTTTTGGAAGGATGCCTTCTTTATTGACCTTACATAAATGGAAAGAAATCTGGTTCATCTGATTTCACTTAATTGATTTCCTATTTAAAGGGAAAATAGGATGTTTGTAGTTATAAACATATATCTCATTAGCTAGAACCTTGCACAGTTTCTTCATTAAGTCATTATTATTTAGGACAGCAAGAGGTAAGTTTGTTTGCAATAGCCTATGCATATAATGATGCAGAAATAGAACAATTAATTTTTCAACATAAAATATCACAGAGTGAACACAGGCACCCCAATATAAGAGAGAAGTAATTTAAGTATTGAAAAAGGGACATGGAGACCAGTTAATTGCCAGGATCTGAAAGTCAGCGGTCTAATCCGATTAAATATGTAAATGCTGCAGTGGTGTTCATTTTCAGTGTCCTTTAGGGCTAATAATTAAATGATGGATTTAGAAATTAATTGCTAGGTAGTGGAGTGCGTGTGCAGAAAGCATGGAGTCCTTTCACCAGCTGTGCCCACTTGCAAGTTCTATGGCCTTGGTCGTTTCTGACTTGGCCATAAAGGAAGTGAAAAGAAATTTACACCAAGAACAAATAACCTCCTTCCTCTGCCTTCTCTCTGACATGACAGTCAAAATGAGAGAATATTCTCCCTTGAGGACAGTGCTGTATTGCTGCTTGACTTGTAATAAGTGTCAGGAGAGTAGCACTAGGGAAAGATGAAAACCGAATCTTAGCGGTCTTGCTCTTCCTGTTAGAGAAGAAAATGCCTGTGTAAACCTGGGTGTCTGGTTCATAATGGAAAAAGTCTCTGCCTGCCTGCATCAGCCTACAGCCATCTCCACCTCCTTCAGTTCCCAGAGGGAACATTGTCTTAACAGTGCACCCAGAGCATCTCTTCCATTGTCATCTTGACTTACTTAGTTTACTGCATACCTAAGCCTGTTTCTTCTAGATAACTGTATAAGGAGAGCCAGGGATGTTGGGTGATATGTGATTTCTTGCTAGTATTTTGGCTCCATATACTGTAGTCATGTGCTGGCATGCTCTGGGTGGGGTCGCTCAGGTACCAGTCTGCCTCTCGGCTCCATCCTAGACAGGTAGGCTGGAAGAGTAGCCCGATTGCATTCTAACTAGATATGAGCCTTCCTTCTATTGGGTAAACTCATAGCACATTGTTTGTAAATCTGTTATATTATTTATTTGAATTATCCTTGAATGGTACTATGTGCCTCATATAAGGCCTTACATGTTCCATAAAGATCTCATACAGAGTTAGAGAATATGGAATTAAATGAATAAATGCATGATGAGGAGAAAATACAAAGTTCTGTCTTCTTGGTAGGTATTGGTCAAAGTAAAAGAAAATTAGAAACATTTTGTATTGAAATCAGCATATCAACTGAGAGACATTCAGATTCAATTCAGATTTAGTTCCAATTAACTTTTTTTTTCTTTTTACTCTTAATGTTTTAAAAATAGAGCATGCATGTGGCAACAAGTTCAAATAATAAAAACTAACATGTATGTATCACATTTGTAGGGAGTCCTGATATGTGGGGGATATCAGGACTTTTCTTAAGCACTTGTCAATACTAGCTTTTTTGGGGTATAATTTACTTGAAAGTACTTTGTACATTTAGACATCGTAAGTGCCAGCTTCCTTCTCTCAATAGCTGACAGCTCTGTATTGTAAGGGACCACAGAAGAGTGTCTTATGATTCTTTACATTCCTGGCAAGTTTAATGCCGTCCCTTGTATATAATAGGTGTTTAGTGTTTGTTAGTTGAACAGAACAGACAAACACATTGGACTTCACCTATCTGGGGTTTCATTTATTATTTCTCGATGAAGAAAGTTAAAAGAGATGTTAGAAATGGCCAAAGCTCAACGTAATGAGTGAATTTGTGATAGGAATTTTAGACATGAGTAATGGGAGATATTTTGAGCTGAGTCGATTGTTTTATCATGTCAGGTGAGCAGCCTTCTCTATGCCTACAGTAAAGGCTGCCTATGGCTTCTGTTAAAACCTATTTGTGTGTGCTCCTTCTTTTTTATGGAAAGGCAAAATTGATAGGAGTAGAGAACATAGGGTTTGAATTCAAACCAACCTGGGCTTGAATCCCTACCCTACTGCTGACTAGCTGCTTGTCACTACTGGACAGCTTTCTAAAGCATCTGGACTCAAAAACTCACAAGAATGAAACACATAGGCATGGTGGAAATCAGAGATAATATGACTTACATGGTATATTGTAGGCACTCAGTGATGATTACTGTTTTGATAATTGTTTTTATTTCAGAAAGCCATATATTCATGGAATATTTCCTAGTGTTTATAAGGTACCTGTGGAGTTCTAATGAAACAAACACATTTCATTCTTTTTAACAACTTATTTAGATCGGTAAATAATAATTATATGTATTGATAGGGTACAATGTGATATTTTGCCCAGTTGTACACTGTAGAAAGACTAAGTCAAGCCAATTAACATATCTATCACCTCACCAACTTTTTTGTGGTGAGAACATTAAAAATCTAGTATTTAGCAATTTTTAAATATATAATACATTATTATTACTGTGACCATACAGTGCAATAGATCACTAAAATTTATAAGTAAAGTAAGCCAGGCACAGGAAGACAAATACTATATGATTTCAGTATAAAAAAGAAAGTATAAAAATATGCTTTTTATATAAAAGTATTAAAAGGTCTATTTCATATAAATAGAGAGTAGAAATGTGGTTACCAGAGGCTGATGTGGAGGAGGGATGGCAAAAAGGGAGATTCTGATTAAAGAGTTACAAAGTTTCAGTTAGACTGGAGTGGTACATTTTAGTGACATATTTCAGCCATCTTTCCGCATCCCAAATGTCGAGTCTGCTCTGGCTGCCGTAACAAAATACCATAGACTATGATGTGGCTTGAAGAACAGAAATGTATTTTCTCACAGTTCTGAAGGCTGGATGGCTGAGATCAGGGTGTGAGCATGGTTGGGTTCTGGTGAAGGCTCTTCTTCTTGACTTGCAGATGGCCGACTTCTCACTTTTGTTGTCACAGAGAGAGAGAAAGGGAGAGAGAGAAAGAGTGTGCGTGTGAGCATGAGCATGCTAGCACTTGGGCTGTTATAACAAAATACTATAAACTTGGTTGCTTATAAGCAACAGAAACTTACTTTTCACAGTTGTGGGGGCTGGGAAGTCCAAGATCAAGGCACCAGCAGATTTAGTGTCTGACGACGGACTGCTTTCTCACAGATGGCACCTTCTTGCTGTGTCCTCACATGGTTGAAGGGGCAAGGCAGCTTTCTGAAGCCTCTTTTATCACTAATCCTATTCATGAGGGCTTTACCTTCATGACCTAATCATCTCCTAGAAGACCTCATGTCCTAATACCATCATCTTGGGGGGTAGGATTTCAATATATGAGTTTTGGGGGGAAACTGACATTCAGACCCTAGCAGGAGCAGTGGGTTTATACAGAGGGTTTCGAAGCTCAATGGGTCATGGTCTTGTTTGATTGCTATGTCTAAGTAGATTAACAGGTTTGTCATTTGAATTTTAAAATTCCTTAAATTAAAGTGAGAAGGCAGCGAGAGTGGCTAATGGCCGGGTACACAAGTGTCATTAAATTCTTGGACTGCCATTAGTGTCAAGGCAGCACTATTCCCTTGCTCTAAGATATTTGACCAGAAGTGTGCAAAATGGAGGTTGGAGGTTAAGTGGTTGTATTTAAATGGAAGATGTCCGCATATATTATGGTAGAACATGAGGGCTCATCACTAGACAGAGATTTAGTGAAGGCAGAACACAGAAATCCACATGCCCCCACTTCTGGCATTTCTGGGTATTGTGAACATTATCTAATTTTGGGCCCATCTCCTTAATGATCTTGAAAATTATCTTTAGGTGACCTAGCTTTGAAGTCAAGTTATGTTTGTTACCAGCTGCATGATCCTGGACTAATCACAAAACCTCACTGAGCCTCAATTTCTTATTCTTAATGATGTAGTTTGAGGATACCTTACTCAGACAAGGACTACAAATCAGATTAGGTAATGAATATAAGAACACAGAGCAAAGGTACTTACACATAGTAGGCACTCAATTAAGGTTTATTGATTCTGACAATGAATTTGTTTGCCTATTCATCACTGAAGAGTAAGTGCCAGATAATATTCATGACTGTATGAGCAGTCAAATGGATATGCTTGATTTCCAATTCTGAAAATATGATTACTTTATAAAATGAAAATTAAAAGTTATTTCAATAACCCAGGTCCCGAGTCTCTTCTCTGAAACTCTTGGAGAAAGGTGTATTTAGCAATTTAAAAACATTCAGCTGTTATAAAGGTAATATAATACATATGCTGGGTGTGATACCATTAGTGGGTCTAAAGAAACATCTCATAATCAAACACATTAATAGTTCTTTAGTGAAATGTGTAAATATTTACACTGAGTGGTTTATACAAAGACCATGAATAGCCTCACACCAGTCCAGGTCAGGTTTTGCCACAAAAGAATTTCAGTTGAGGTCAGGTTTTACTGCCAAATGAATTATGAAGAAAAGTTTGATTTTTGAAACTTCTTGAAGAAGTTTTGGACTTGCAGGAGGGATTGAGCATCTGTATTATTAAATAACTTTTGATATTACTTTTATAAAGCAATACTGACTTTTCAGAGTTGAGTTCATTGCTATATAACTTGTCTATAGGTGTTAGATTATAAAAATAAAATTTAAATGCTGGCGTCCCAGTAAGAAATGCAAATCCCAGGACATTCAAATACCCAGGTAATTAGAGTTTTATGGATTCATGACTATCAAATGATGAGTATCCAGGCTCACAGCCTTACCAATGTACATCTATGCTGTGGCCTGTGATCTTCTCATGTGTAATTTGCTGCTATTGAGGTAATAGAAGATCTTACGATATAGCTTTCATTGGATAATGCTCACAGCAGGGAATAACAGTTTGAAAAGTAATCACTTAGCTTTTATTTACTCTTTGAGGAATCACACTCAGGCTATCATAAAGGAGTACAGTTGACATAGATTCCTGTGCAAATGGGGAAACATTCTGTTCAACTACTCTTTCCAAGCTCAAAAATTTGATAATTGACTTCAAATAAAAGGCAGACCAAACAGTGCCTGTCTGTGATATTCACAGCACAGAAGAGAAACCTTTGTTTTTTTCCTCTGAGCTCTTTCCTGCATCACAACATTTCCTGGGATGATCTTTACCTGCAGTTATTAAATTTACCTGCTCATCAAAATCAACAGGAAAAAAAAGTCAGATTTTCAGTATACTATTCTAAGAAATTCAGTAAGGGTGGGGACCTAAAAATCCCCTCGTTTGTTTAATTTTTGTGATGTACAGTCAAGTTTGACAATGAGAATTCAACCTTCGGCTTGTACCTGGCCTTTCAGGTTACAGCACTAAAAATCCTGTTTGGGAAGAGAAAGTCAAAGTACACAATAGTCAACTGCAGATTCTATAGGAGCCCTGCATTTTGAAATTTCCAAGAGAATTTTGAGAATCGAACAATAAAGATTTATTGGATCTAAAGGCTCCCTTGTATCCATGTTATAAAATAACCTTCCCAATCATGTAAGTTGGGAGCCCAGCCAGTGGGAGGAAGATGTCCTCATAGAGGAGTCGCTTTTGAACTTCATTCTTGTCTTTTTCTCTGGCCTCACAGTGTTCGTCTATGAGGTTCTTTGGGGAAAATATGCTAGAGGGGGGCTTTAGCACAACACTCCACATATACCTGGCTTGGTTTACTGCAAAGGCTATAGCTCAGATGCTGACAGGTGCTGAAGAGGCAACTTAAATTTATGAATTGTTGCACTACATAGAGAATCTGGCAAATTCTTCTAAAATTGGGAAAGTCCACTTAATATCCAGTCAATTATTGCCAGGTGGAACTGTGAACCTAGTATCCCAGATTTTTTTTTTAATTTTAAAGATAAAAATCTGGGTCTTTATGTGAAATCTTCCAGTTTGTAAATGAAGACAATTCTACAACTCTATTAGGTACTATTATTATCTCCATTTTGCAGGTAAGGAGACATATTCAGGGAATGTGATAATTTGAATTATTCAGCAAATATTCAGCCTGCAAATTCCTTCTCCCCTAACTAGAGACAGTATACATTTCCCTGATCCACTGGTGTTGGACTTGGCCATTTGACTTGTTATGACTCACAGAATATGAGCAGAAGTGACAGCATGCCAGTTACCAGCTAAGGGCAAAAGAAGATCTGGTGGATCTGTATTTCTGACATTCTGACTAGCCTGCTGGTCCAAGGAGGATATGAGACACACGGAGATAACATGATCTCCACCTGCTTGCAGCTTGAAGCTGAGCCTAGCCCAACCTGGCCTAGACCAGTCAACCCCTGGGTGACCCTCAGATGCATGAGCAAGAATAAATGACAGTTGTTCACATATCTAATTTTAGATAAGATAACAGATAATAGGGAGTTTATAACTTGCCTAAGGTTACATACAAGTCATTAGTTTGTTTGGTCAGGATTTGAACCTGGATGTGCTAAAGCTAAAGCCCATAACTATTAGTGTGCTAGGTTAGAACACTGACAATGTACTATTTGATAATTCTTATTCAGAGTCATGATCTTAAGATACTAGCCTGCCTTGAAATCACTTAAGAAAGAAAAATGGAAATTGCACTTGGGAAAATTTCATTGTTCTTTTATTTAACACTGAATTCTTTGAAACTAATTGTTTCGATGAAGTTATATAAGCAATTTGATGGATAGAAAAAGACTTTGGACTTGCTGTGATTTGCTTTAGCCTCCTTTCCTAAAAAAATAGAATTTATGTTACATACATAACTATGATAATTATTTCCATCCTCCTAATGTAGAGTGAGCATACACCATTCTTTCAGCTAGACATTCCCATCCTAACCCTTTTCCTTGGCCCAGGCTATTTAGGCTCACCTTACCTTATCCTATTAGTTTGCCAGGGCTGCCATAATGAAGTGTCATTAACTGGGTGGCTTAAAACAATAGACATTTATTGTTTCACTAACCTGCAGGCTAGAAAGGAGGTCGAAATTAATGTGTTCTCAGGGCCATGCTCCATCTGAAACTTACAGGGAAATCCTGCCTTGCCTCCTCCTACATTCTGGTGGTTCATTGGCAATCTGCGGAATTCCTTGGTATACAGACACATAACTCTCATCTCCACCTTTGTCATCACGTGGCATCCTTTTTGTGTGTCTCTGTGTCTTCCCAAGGCCATCTCCTTATAAGGGCACCAGTCATAGTGAATTAGGGGCCCACTTTACTCAAGCGTAACCTCATAGTAACTAATAACATCTGCAATGATCCTATTTCCAAGTAAGGTCACGTTCTGGAGCGTGGAGCTTTGGAATCTTAACATGCCCTTTTTTGGGGGGTAGGGGTACAATTCAACCCATACCACCCAGTCTCAGCTTGGTTGTAGGAAGAGCCCTCACAGGCTTGGGAATTCTGCTCACATAACTTAAATGACTGTGCCTATGTCTCTTTCACAGGGCCCCCGGCCCACAGCTTCTCTGGGGCTTTATCTTCTGGGTTTAGTGTCGTTCTAGAAACAAAATTGTCTTCAGTAGTAGGTCCTTTCTCATGGAGCTCTCAATTCATTTTTCTCTGAGCAATATTTTTTTCTGCTCACTGAATGAATATCTTTGTCCCAGGAGGCCAGGCTTTCTCATTACTTGGAAAAATCCTTCAAACTCCAAATAAAAAAGAACCACAAGTTAACCATATTTCTATCTATTTTCACCATATAAGCACAAAAAAAGGCATTAGGGAATAAAACTAAAATGTCATGCAGGCCTGACAGTTTTCCACACTGATTGCTTTTAATGCTAGTTGATGCAGGAAAGATTGCCAGACAGACTGGAGCTCTGGATACCAGAGGCCTGGTATCTTCTTGTCGGGTCTTCCCCACTGGGCTGTTAAAGTTGGTTCCCCTGCCCTATTTGGCTGATTCAAGCTTCATGTGTCTTTCTGTGAGTCTAAAAGGAAGGTCCTGCGAGCTGCGGCTGTTTGGCAAGGGAATTGTGCTGTTGGTTTCCTGGTCCACATCACAATTAATTCTAGAAACAGCAAAGGTGGAGAGCTGTATACAACGTTGGATAGAACATTAACCATTTTAAAAGGTGTTCCTAGATATTATCACATATTCTGTCACTTTTTGTGCACCGGCCTCTGCTGTGTTTATGCTTCCTTTTGTTAACTTGATTCTGGATTTCTCTTCTTCAAAGAACCAGCTTGTTCAACTCCCTCATCCCAGGCTGTCCACTTTGCTTGACACAGTGGTTTATCTCAACTCTTTATGCCGATCCCTTTCCCTGGGCTGAAACTATTTTTCTTTTTTTTTTTTGTTTGAGACGGAGTCTTGCTGTCGCCCAGGCTGGAGTCCAGTGGCGCAATCTCGGCTCACTGCAGGCTCCACTCCCCGGGGTTCACGCCATTCTCCTGCCTCAGCCTACCGCGTAGCTGGGACTACAGGCGCCCACCACCTTGCCCGGCTAATTTTTTGTATTTTTAGTAGAGACGGGGTTTCACCGTGTTAGCCAGGATGGTCTCGATCTCCTGACCTCGTGATCCACCCGCCTCGGCCTCCCAAAGTGCTGGGGTTACTGGCGTGAGCCACCGCGCCCGGCCGGCTGAAACTATTTTACCTCACTCTGGTCTCCCTAGTTCAGAGTGATAGGGGAAAAAAATGTTGAATTTTAATGGAAAGCAGTGGTTATCAACTTGTTCCATATATAATGAACACTTTTGATTTTTAATAAATTTGGCTACCCTCACAGAAGGGGCCTTATGCACTCATTTATTTACAGATGCTGTTGCACATTATGGTTCCAGTATTTGCGTCTTGACTCCTCAGGGTCCTCAACCTAAGGACTGGGAATCACAGATCCAAAGACGTTAGTGTGGCTTTCTCCAGGCTGTCAGCTCCTGTTTGGTCTTTCTCTGAATCAGAGTATGTCACCTGAAAAGTGGGAATGAAAAGGGTTCACTCCTTCATTCATTTATGCATTAATCTTTTTTTTTTTTTTTTTTTTTTTTTTTTTTTAAAACGGAGTCTCGCTCTGTCGCCCAGGCTGGAGTGCTGTGGCGCGATCTGAGCTCACTGCAAGCTCCGCCTTCCAGGTTCACGCCATTCTCAGCCTCCCAAGTAGCTGGGACTACAGGCGCCCGCCACCACTCCCGGCTAATTTTTTTGTATTTTTAGTAGAGACAGGGTTTCACCGTGTTAGCCAGGATGGTCCCCATCTCCTGACCTCTTGATCCCACTGTCTCGGCCTCTCCAAGTGCTGGGATTACAGGCGTGAGCCACCACGCCTGGCCTATGCATTAATCTTTTGATCAAACTTTTAATGAGCATTTTACTGTGCTTTATTGAAGTAATTGTTAGGTATACAAATAAGGATACATTGTGCCCCAAAGAGCTCAGATTCTGATCAGGTAAACAGGTATGTGAACCCTTCAAAGTCATTCAAACATACGTCAGTCATTTCAGTGGAGTCAAGTTTTGTGGTAGTTCAAAAAACGATGTAACATAATGGATCCAAACTTCCTCAGTTTAAATCTTGGCTCCACTTTCAGCTCTGCTACCTTGGACTACTTTCCTAACCTCTCCATACCTCAGTTTCTTAATGCGACATGTGGACATGGTGGATTCAGGTTTCACAAGGTCTGAAACTTAAGCAATTTTGAAAATTATCTTTAAGAAAAAATAATACAAAATTATGACTATAAAATTACTCACAAAATTGATATTTATTTAGAATGGGAAAAGAAATGATAACTTATAAATTAAAAAATTTTAAAGAGCTGACAAATGCCATCAGCATTATGAAATCCAAAAATATACAATCTCATTACTATTAAGTATATGCATCTGTCTGACACATCTCTCTAATATGGTTTTTTTGGTTTTATTTTTTGGTTATATTTAATCACTTTTGTTTGACAACAATTTTATAATATTTTCTGTTGTGAGGATGGGAAAATATCACATCTTTCTCACAGAATGGTTTGTCAATTTAAAAAAATATTGATAGCTTAGAAAAGTATTTTTTTTTAAGTTTCACAGTTCATTCTTGCTAACATTGAGTGTCTGCACTCTCTCAGATGGTGCTTCTTGTCCTATGGCAACCTTGGTAAATTGTACCCTTAGGATTTTCTAGGAATGGCCTTGAAGGCTATGCCCAGCAGCTGTGAAAGATGCATCAGAAGCATGTCTACCTTGCCACCCGTGGTTCATGCTGCTATAACAAAGCACCAAAGACTGCATATAAAAGCAGATTTTTTTACCCACAGTTCTGGAGGATGGAAGTCTGAGATCAGGATTCCAGTACAGTTGGGTTCTGGTGAGGGTCCCCTTCTGGGCTGCAGACTGCTAACTTCTCATTGTATCCTCATGAGGTGGGAAGAGATCAAGCTAGTACTCTGGCATAGGATTAGGGTCTCAATGTATGAATTGTGGGGCAACACAAACATCCAGTCCATTGCACTCCCTTGATCCATTGTTCTTGGGACAGGGCACAACTTAGGCATGGATCCTGGGTCCTACTGCCTCCCAGCAGAAGCAAAGAAACATTTATTTTCAAAAAACAAAATGAATATACACAACCTCAAAACAAGAGGTTTGTAGCACAATTTTTCTGAAATGATCCTTCTTCCAGTTTTTAAATTTTTGGTATGGAAGTCAGCGATTTATTTGATGTAGAGAAACAGAAACCCATTCAGATGATTAAATTTAAAAATAGGTTTTTTTTGAAAGCCAACAGTAAAATGTCCCAGATAAATAAAATTAGGGAATGCAGAAATGAGATTTGGGAACCAGAAGCAGCAAGGACAAATGGAGACTAACGTGGAAAGCGAAGATCCTCTCTTCTCTCAGGCACCTGTTTTTCTCAGGTCTGCTTTCTCTGTAGGCACTGCCTTTATTTCCTATTTCTGTCAGTAGGCTGGCTTTTCCCACTATTCTACATGCTATGTAACTGTTTTTGAGGTGGCTTTGAATTTTCATGGCACAGAGTTGACCCTGATCTTCTATGATTTTTCAGAGCCATGTACCCAGCCATATCTATTTTCTTAAGAGAGTAGATCTGATTGATTGCTTCTGTGTCAGAGGTCCATACCTTGACCAATGAGCTGTGGCTAGAGGGAGCAAGGTTTTGTGGTATGAAACACAACCATTCAAGCATGTGTTTTCATCAAGGGCTGGGCATGAGCTGGAATTTTCAAAAAGAGAATATGGGCAGGGCACCTACTATGTATTGGGAACTGATTCAGAGAAAAATGAGTTAAATTCCTTGAAAAGGAGGTGTGAGCATGTACAATTCATGCTCATCTCTGCTTCTCAAGCTGGAATTTACTGCAGTGCAGTGTGCAAGAGAGATCTCTAAGCCACAATATGGCTGTGCTCCCTCTTTCTGGATCAGCAGTTTTACACATGGATAATTGAAAACATCATTTGTAGAATTATTATGAAAAGCACAATATCTAGCTGTTTATAAGCATGAACTCTTGGGTGTGTATATTTACACCCACTCTGGGTTCTTCAGTTGAAACATTTAAGAAGCACTAGGTTCATATTTACGTACTGTCTCTTTCTAAAAGATGGAAACAAACTTTGTTTTCAGCAAATCAGCAAATTTGTGAAATTGATTTCGTTTCTCTTTGAATTACTCTTTTCAATCATCCAGCATTCATTCATTTATTCATTTACTCAATAAATATGTATTCAGTAAGTACTGTCTGCCAGCTATAACAAGACTGTATTGCCCTGCCATCATGTAGCTTACAGAGAGGAGAGGGAGACTGAAAATAAACATGCTAACAAAGAAATATATGATGCTTGGCTGAGGGGGATAAGTTCTATGAAGAAATCATATTGCTAGGAGTGAGAATAGTAGTGGCTGGAGCAGCAACATCAGAGAGGATGGCCTAGAAAAACCCCTGAGATGTTGGCCTGTGAGTTAGACCTGGAGGGAGTGATGTAAGTCGCCCTGCAAAACCCCAGGGAGGAGTTCTCCAGGCAGGCTGAACAGCATGTGCAGAGGCCCAATGCAAAGAACGTGGTGTGTCTGAGGAACTGAAAGGCAGGTAGAGTAATGGGAGCTGAGTAAGAGAGTGGTGGAGTATGAGGATGAAGAGGTAGAAGGGATGTAGAAGTAATGAGTTTGGATTTTATCCCAAGTATAATGGAGAGTCATCAATGAAGTATTTTAAATAAGAGGATGATTTTATTTGGTTTATAATTTTAAAACATCACTCTAGTGAAATGTGAGAAAAGATTGGAATAAAAGCAAGAAAAGAAGCTGGGATTTCAGCTGGAAGGCAGAGTGATGAAGGTGAGAAAAAGTGGTCATGTCACAGAATGGGAAAGGGAACTTACTTGAGAAACAGAATCCATTTTTTATGTGGTGTAACCTGTCAGTCCAGATGTGTGCTCTCAGAAGCAGTCAGAGAGGTTGTGAGCCTTTCTGTTCACATCCCAACCGCTCTGACTGCTTCTGAGAGCTGACCTGTGAAAGGGTAGAAGAGTCCTTGCAATTAATAATTTTAATGATAAAGCCTGTATTTAAAGTTGGATAAGAAAGGAAATGGAAACAGAAAGAGGCTGATTGATTTTGAGAATGCACCAGGATCAATCAGATTGCAGAATTGTGCACTGTGGGCATTTGAGCAAGTGAACTGAAAAAAATAGGAAGTTAAGGCCGATAAGAGGTATGCCTGAAATTGAGATGTATGATGTTGTGCAGTTTCTGATGATGAAATGTCAGATATGGCAGTGGGATGGGGTCCTGCAAGAATATAAGAAAGACCCACTGCTGACAAGGAAGGGAAGGATTGAGAGACGAATGCTGGATGGACCCTCCACACACCTGTTGAAGTTATTAGGGTTGTTTATGGAGAGAGTGAGCGTAAGCAGGAAAATATCTCAATAACAGAGGGATGTCAGCAGATAACTTCAGGAAGGTTGGAGTAGAAGAGTGTCAAATAGCTGAATGAGATTCTTGAACGGAGCAAAGAAACTTGTAAGATGAAGGGGAAGCCAGGAGAAATCATCTGTTAGAAGCTGTGGGAAAAAGGACACATCCCTTTCTTCTAACCCCAGAAAAGAGGGAAGGATGAGAAAAAAATAACAAAAGGATGAAAGACAAGCAAATTTTGTAGGCGACAGTGAAATCAAGCAAGGAGATGAAGGGAGAAAGGCAGTGGAAGAGTTCGTAGGTGTAAGGATATTTGCTGATCATAAATGGGCTATTCCAGAGGCCACAGTGTGTGTGAAAGGAAGGAGAGGGGTGGAAGGTTGAACCACGTTAGGGGAAGTACAGAAGAGGAAAGAAGAAGAGAGCCTGGTGATATATAATAAGGTATCCTAGCAGTTTATGCTTTTGGGAGGGATTGAGGTAAACAGGGTGCAAGACCAGATGGATTGGTCCTGATGCTCTTCTGACTCTGATCTGGCATTCTCTGTCTGTTAGGATGGTAGATTCCAGAGTGCTGCTTGTGAGGACGTCGGCTGCAGGGAAGGGACCTTCCCATAGGCTGCTCAGAACACAGGCAAATGAGGGCAGTGAAGGCCAGTGAGCTTATTCCAGAAGTCTGCCAGCTGCTTCTTTATTATGACTAATCCTCAGGACAATGCCACTAAATAGCTTTTAATATTCCCATTTTACAGAAGCTGAAACTACAGCTCAGACAAGTTGAGAGACTTGGCCAAGATGAAGAGGTAAGGATGGAGAGAAGGTTTTAAACCCAGGCCTTTCCAAAACCTGAGCCTGAGTTCTTTCCCACAGGAAACTTTAACCAGGCTAAAGAACCAGGGTGAGACACAGGAACTTAGACTCTGGCTGGGAAAAATTCTCTCCTTGCTAGGCTGTCTTTCTTACGAGATTTTGAGCTTCTTGAAATTAGAGACTGTCTCCTTGTATCTAGGATGGTGCCTGGCACATAGTAGGTGCTCAATAATATTTGATAAGCGAAGGCAGGAATAAATTACTTTATATCATTCCTTTCCTTTCACTTTTCTTCCTTCTCTTCTTTTCTTTTTCTTTGTTTCTGTTTTTAGAATATCTCCTTGCCTGCTAGCCTCTTTAGGATATGTTAAATTCTGTGGAATGGAGCACCTAATTCTTCATGTCTTTGACCCTCCCACCTTTCCAGCTTCCTCTCCCTTCTCTTCCATCAAACTTTGGCTCAGATTATGACTGTATTTTTCAAGTTCCAGGGTCCCATCTTGCCTTCTTTGAGTTATTTTCAGCTACTCTCTGATACAACCCATGAAGTCCTACATCAGGAGAATAGCAGACCAATTAGTTCATGGGCATCACCATGAACCCATGGCCATAATTTCCTAGATTTTGTCTCAAAGTTTCTGATTGAGCTGCCTAATGTACCTGAGACGACCCTTAGTTGTACAAGAAAAGCTGTGCTTTTATTCTTTGCGTTCTTGTGTGGAATACTTAGAATTATTAGAACACTCACACTCATGACTGACCCTGGTGTAAAGGGTGCAGTGTGTGTGTGTGTGCATGTGTGTGTGTGTGTGTGTGTGTGTGTGTGTGTGTGAGAGAGAGAGAGAGAGAGAGAGCAGGTTCATTTGTGGAAGTTATGAATGCGTGGTCTATTTTTATTACCTATCCTGAGGCTTTAGAATGAATGAATTCTGCATTAGCAGATGGTTTTCTTTCAAAGTTTTTAGTATAAATGTCAGCCAGTCTTGTGTGCTTCTGTTATACTCCAACACCTTTCCCTGTACATTTTCTTTGGGGCAATATTGAATATTTTTTCTACATTTGTGTGCAGAACCTCTTACATCCTTAAGGTGGCAGCAACAATCAAAACGGTATTTAAAGAAAATTATCTGAACGGGAAGGGAAGTGGGGAAAAGAAAAAAAAATTTTTTCTGAAATGTTCTATAATCCTCCATTTTCTGCTCAGCAGAATTATATCTGTGGCTAGATTATTCATTATGAAGAGCTTATTTCAGCCCAGAGTCTGTGCATCAGTAGATTAGGATGTGGAGGAAGATTAGCTTCTCATAGCGGGTGGCTAGAAATAGTTTCTTATCTGATCATTAAAATTGGTTGTTCATGGTTTCTTGATTATAATTATTAATTCTGTCAAGGACTTTTGCATGTCAATTAAATTTTGGTTCTTGATATGTAATATTAGGATTCAGCTCTATGGTACCAGTGTTACATTAGCAAGGCAGAAATGACTGTGTGTGTGTGTGTGTGTGTGTGTGTGTGTGTGTATGTGTGTGTCTTCAATAGTTCTCAAGTGCCTCCAGTCCTCAAAACATATTTTTGAAAGTATTTAATAATTTTGAGACTTCAGTAATGACAGTACTATTAATAAATAAAACACTAGCAGCGACTTTTTATTGTTTACTATGCATCCTGTACCTCTGTTGTCTATTTTTATCATTTCCACAAACCTAGGCAACTGATGTCATGTTTACTTTCATATTAAACACAAAGAAAGCAAAGAGTCAAAGGATGAAATAACTCCTCCAAATTTACAGAGCTGGTAAATAGTGGAACTGGGTGGTAACCCAGGTATTTCTCACTCCAAATTCCTGCTCCACTACCTGTCAATAAAATGGCTTTTTGTGAGCTTGGTCCGGGAATAGGATTCTTAAATTAATATGTTGTCACAGTTTAAGAAAATGAGCACAGTGATCTTAAGACACAGAGATTTATTGTTTCTGGCAAAGTCAAACCTAAAGAGAAGAAACAACAACCACTTTTTTTTTTTTGAAAACGTGTTAGGTGATTTTCTTTAGCTATACAACTACACATCAAACAAGGATTTGAGTGTGAGGCAATGTGTTAGAACATTGAGTAAGACACAATCCCAGTTGCTGCAGGAAATTTAAATAGTGATAAATGTGTAAGAAAAGTACTGTGGAGACTATGGAAGAAGTGATTTATTTTGCTTCACAGAGGAGGGCCTTTTGCAATAAGCTATAGAAGTGTCCAAAATGGCTCTTTCAAGAAAAAAATGACATCTTTCCTCAGTTACCACCACTCCATCCTAATGTAACAGCATTAACAATAGCTTTTTTGGCAATATGAGAAAAGTTGGTAAGATAGAGTAGGAAGTCTTGTCCTGCTGGCCTCACTTTGCAGAGGAATGCTTGTGAATGAATTCTGAAAGGCAGGAACCAACAAAACCCACAATGGGAGTTGGGGTGGGAGATGATGATGGGAGGTGGTGAGGGGATGGTAGGTTGTCATGCAGTGGTGTAAGGGGGGCATTTTGATTCCAGATAAAGCAGAATCCCAGTCATGATACTTGGGTTTTAAGATCAGAGCACATGCTGGGCGTGGTGGCTCACTCCTGTAATCCCAGCACTTTGGGAGGCCGAGGCAGGTGGATCGCCTGAGATCAGGAGTCCAAGACCAGCCTGGCCAGCATGGTGAAACCCCGTTTCTACTAAAAATACAAAAATTATCCGGGCGTGGTGGTGCATGCCTGTAATCCCAGCTACTAGGGAGGCTGGGGCAGGAGAATTCGCTTGAACCTGGGAGACAGTGGTGGAAGTGAGCCGAGATCGTGCCACTGCACACCACCCTGGGCAACAGAGTGAGACTACATCTCAGAAAAAAAAAAAAAAAAATCACAGCACATGTTCACCCACTCATTCACGATTTACAGATTACCAATCTGGTGTCAGTTTGCAGTTTACTTTGAAATTAGGGCTGTCTATATGCCTATTAAGGAAATACTTGTTTCCAGAAACTCTAGGTTTGATTCTGTAGGGTGGAATCATGTGGACCTAACCTAAAGTAAAAGACAGGTATGTGGGGGAATAGAGCGTCTGGCAGATCACTACATACTGAAGTCATGAGTATAATAGGCTATTCATGCTATCACTACATACTCAAGTCATGACACAGAAATGCTATCCAAAGATGTTTTTTAGGTAAATTGAAGTGTCCTAATTAGGATAGGAGCTAATAAGCTGGAGAGTGAGAAGAATTGAGGGGTTATAGTGAAGATAGAAATATCTATTTTCTCTAGCTGGAATAAAGAAGAGACACAGTGAATTCTGTATTTATTCACTCACTCATTCATTCATTATATTGAACCCTTAGATGACACTTTCTATATGAAAGCCCTACATAAATAATAACTCACTGATTTTAATAATCTGACAAAGTACAAATTATTATCACACACATGTTATAGAGAACTGAGTTACACAGGTATTGAGTAACTTGTACAAGGTAACTGTATTAGTCTGTTCTCACACTGCTAATAAATACATAGATGAGACTGGGTAATTTACAAAGGAAAGAAGTTCAGCATGGCTGAGGAGGCCTCAGGAAACTTACAATCATGGCAGAAGTGGAAGCAAACATGTCCTTCTTCACGTGGCGGCAGCAAGGAGAGGTGCAGAGCAAAAGGGGGAAATGCCTCTTATGAAACCATCAGATCTCATGAAAACTCACTCACTATCAGGAGAACAGCATGGGGGTAACCGCCTCCATGATTCAATTACTTTCCCCCCGGGTTCCTCTCACAACACATGGGTATTATGGGAACTACAATTCAAGGTAAGATTTGGGTGGGGATACAGTCAAAGATAGCTTCTTTCACCATATTTATTTATTTATTGACAAACAAAGTTATCCTGAAATGGAGTAGTGACCTTTTTCTAGTTTCATGCAGACAATTAATTTTTAGATGATCACTCTCAGGAGAGGAAAGACTTCACAGACCTAAGCATCTGTATCCCCAGCCCAACATCAGCACAGATTAATTGCATGATTTTTTTTCTTTTTTCCTTTATGACATCAGAAAATGTCCCAAGAACACATACAGCTTATGCGTCTGAGTTCCTGAAGCTGGAGTGGAATACTGCCAAATCCAAACTGATAACAACTTCTGTCTGCTGTCTCTCATGTCACTAGATGCCTTTCACAGTTAAAAATCACACCATGCACCCCATACGGCCCCGAGCTCACTAAGCCTGCAGACCTTGCATCAGTGCATGTACTCCATACAAACGTGATCTCATAGCCAGGGTCCAAACACGAATATGGAAAATGGCCAATAAGGTTAATAAGAAGGAATGGCTTAGAGAAAGTACAGCTAATCACCATCCTGCTGGGTGAGAGTGAGAGGCCAGCAGGGGCTGAGACTTTTCTTCTATTTTTAAATCAGGAGTCTGAGTGGTAAACCCATGTCTCCCTCAATTCACAGTGCTGGCCTACAGAGGATACACGTGCTGTGGACCACATTGGCAGCTGAATGAATTGTTTGGGCTGATTGTCTTTCCTCTGTCTGTCTCTGCTGCCCGGGTAGAAATGTTTAAAAATACACTGTTATTAAGGGCATTTCAGCTGCAGGGCTGGAGTGGCTGGCATAATTGTGAGCTTCCTGAGTCTCTGGGGCTTCCTGAGTCTTTGGCTGGTTCTTTCCTGCTCCTCCACACTCATGGTCCCCGCTAGTTTTGAATGAAATGTCATGTTTCAGTTGTTGATAACTGTTAGCCAGTTCTAGGAGGTAATTGAAATGATCCTGTATTTGCACTGGAGATTTTGTATTTGTGCAAACGACTGCTGAATTGCCTTTCACTGAGGATACAGATTTTGAAAAGGGTTTTTCCAGCTGCCTTTGTGACACTTATGTTGTGACTCTAGTAAAGTATGAATGTACATCTGGAATAAACACATTTGAAAGGGGTTTACTACATGGTTACCTAAATTTTTTGCACTGGCTATTTATAATTTTTCAACTTGATCTTTCTGTCCTTTGGTATTTGGATTTTTGTGTACAGTGAGGGGTTTACCACTGTAAAGGGGCAGGGAAGCTCATATAACAGTCCTCTGCAGCTTTTTGAGGTTTTTGCACACTGTAAGTTTAGAGACCAATAAATAGTTGAGAAAGTATCTAACACATTAACTGTGACCAAAGATTTATGCTATTTGTAGAAGACCCAGTCTATTTTTCTCCCCAGATCTGCTCAGCCCTGTGTGTGACTGTTAGACAGAGATCCCTTGCCATTACTCCTGTTCTTTCCTCATCTCCTAGCACCACAGGCTATCTTATCTACTCCCACAGAGAGAACCAGGTTCCAGCACAGCCTCTTCCATGCAACTACCATGTAGGCTTTGGTGCCTCAGTTGAACTAATCAGGCCCATAGGAGATATGGTGCCTTTCACTACTTCTGGGCTCATGTAAAGAGAAACAAACTTTGAGGCAAGAGAAATGGCTTTCCTTGAGACTTCCTGTAGTAGTCAGTTTACACAATCTGAGAACACGGGGCAAACTGACCAATGAGAGAAAGGAGACAGACACCACTTAGCAGACGAATTTCACGTCCTCCCTTCAGTTTGCACACAGTGGCTCCGTAGAGCCTCTCTAGAGATATCTTACCTGACTAAGAAAATAGCTTTGATTTTTTTCGTGAAGGCCAGCTTAGCAACTTGGCACCTTGTAACTGATTTGCTACTTTTCTGCTTCACTTCCCGTTTTCTCAACCTTGCTGCTCTGAGATTGCTCCTCTCAATATAGTATTAGCATGTAGATATGTAGACCTTTTTTTTTCGTAGAGAACCTGGCCAAGACAACATGGGAGAAGGACTCTCCACTAAGATAATCAACTATACAGCTATAGTGAAGGTACAAGTTAAAGATAAAGGAAAATAAAGATAATACCTTAGGTTGAATAGAAGGTATACCAAGAAGTGAGTAGGGGAAGGTGGTTCCTTTTGAGAAAATGGGACAGGGTGAGTTCAGAGGAACAAAGCTTTCTCTTAGTTTTTCAGGGTCAAAGAGGAGAAGAAGGTTCATCCTAGCCAGTGGAATTAATAATTTCGGATGAAACAGAAACACACACAAATTTCATGGACCTAGCAATGTAGATTTATTTCTTAAAATCCTATATGGTTCTGCCATTCTCCATCTTGTAGGTATGCAATCTGGAATCCTTGGGCTCCAGGGTTTCAGGGGCTGGGGCTGGAGAAGATAGATAGATCTGGATCTGGAACTAAAAGAAGACCAAGAGCAAGAGGGAGAGAGCAAGAGAGGAAGAACATCAGCTCTTCATTACCTTACCCGGAAGTAACACATGCCCCTTCTCCTCAGTCATTGGCTGGAATTAATCCCACTGCCACAGTCTACCTGCTAGGGAGGCTGGGAAATGTAGGGGAACACACAGAGTTCTGTTGAGCACAGATGGCCTCCCAACAAAGCTCAGCAAGAGAAACTAAGGGGGGGAGGGGTGCAAGTGGGATAGCACAAGAGATTCATACCAGAAGAATGAAAAGAAGACCTTCAAGAATTGTAAAAGTGGGAAGAGGGAGAAGTGTGGGACCTGAGACAAATGTCTGTTCAGAAGTAGAGGACACAAAGGGGAAAGGAAAACACTTCTGAAGGAGTTTTGGAGGATTAGGCAAATTCTTAGATCAATGCTGAGAGAAAGTCCAGGGTGTTGGGAGAGGACCCCTGACAGGTACTAAAGGATGAAGCCATGGAGGAAGGATTTTCACAATGAGATAGGGCAGGACACCCTGGAAAAGACACCCAGTGACCTGGTCACAAAATAAGGCAGAACAAAGAGTAATATAATATTTCTTAACATAACTTATATTGAAACAACTCACAGACCCACTCCCTGTGTTGAGCCTAAGACAGTGAACAGATGATTATGTCCAGCTGCTCATATAGAACGAATCCACATTTCCATGAGGACTCTCCAGTTAAGTTCTGAAAGGTCATGAATGTGAAGAATCACTTATGAGTTTCAGGTGCAGATGTCCAACGTGATGTGAGTTGGGTGAGGCACGGGTGCACTTCACATCATAAGAAAGAAGAAGCTGGTTGCAGATTGCAAAGCAGTCATTCATGGACTATTTGATAGGCTGTGGTGAGGATTCAATTAAATGGCTGACACATCCCAAGTAGTCAATATAGGTTATTTTTTGGCTAACCTTCTGAGGCCTCTGTTTCAGAGATTAGGAAATTGAGGCAGGGGAATTGGAGAGACTCATCTGTGAAATCGTAGCTCACAAAGCACACAGTAGTGGATGCTATCGCTTAGTATAGGGGGTTGGGAGGGTGGTCATTACAGACCTCCTGGGTGACATTGTACTTAAGCAGAAATGTGAAGGATAAGGAGTTAGCCAGGCAAGGAAGGTACAGGTAACAGATGACAATTCTGGTAGAGGGAACAACAAATAAAAATGCCTGAATTCAGGAATGAGTTTCATGCAAACTGAGTGGAGCTTCATGCTGGCAAGGAAGAATGGCCTAAGACAAAACTGGAGAGGAAGACAGGCTTAGCAGGGTTTCTTAAGTCATGCTATAGCCAATGAATCTGTCCCAAGAGAATGCTAGACCACTAACAGGCTTTCAGCAACATAGTGGCATAAGGGACTTGTGTTTTATAAAGATTACTCCCAGTTTAATATGGAGAATGGATTGGGGAGGAGGGCAAGTGAGAATAGGAAGAACAAGAAGAAGACTAGTATAGTTCCAATGAGGTTATATTATGGGTACTTTTTCCCTTGATCTTTCTCTCTTGATTTGACAGATAGGTCTAGTATAATTTCTCGTGGTAAGACTGTAAATTCTAATGATTCACTTTATTATTGAGGCTGTCTGTAAGACAATCAAAAAACTATGCTATATGCTCTGAAAAAAAATGAGGTCTAGTTGCTGGTATTACTTCTACTCATGCCCCCCAAAGGTACCCAATGGGAGGAAGGAATGCTCTTGTTCTTTTTTTTTCCTTTCTAATTTTGCTGTCATGTTGCAGCATTAAGCTTAGCATTTGTACAATGGTTCACAGTTTTTCAACACCATTTATTAGCTGTACTTTCATGTCTTGTATTCCTTATAGGAATCTTATAAGTAGGTATCAAAACAGTTCTTAGATTTGAAGAAAAAAAAACTAGCAAAAATCACCCATCTTCCCAACTTTGTATGTTCTAAAACAGTGGTTTTCAGTGATATATGGGTAATCCACAAACATTTCTAAATCTTGTTTTTGGTTATTTTTTAAATAGTTTGCCTGTGGTTATAACTTTATATTTTATACTGTTAATGTTCCCAATTTTGCGACACAATTAAATCTATTTATTAGTATTCTGAGTTTTTCTAAGCCAATGCCTAAATATGATAATATAAATTTCACTGACTTAAGCCCATAACTGTTCATATTGGCATTTCCTGTCCAGGTCATGGTTTCCATCGTGCTCATATCATCTAGTAGCTATGGTCTCCAGGTGGCATAAAATACTTCTTTTCTTGTTCTGACCTCCAAATATGATATGCTCTCCCTGGGAAGTCACTTCAACATGACTAATGCTGCCATTACTAAAGGTACCAAATGTGAAAATACCAACATCTCTACAAAGAATTTCAAGTCTTAGTGCTCCACATGCCACCAAACCCCATCGTTTGTTTCCTGCCCCTAAGTGCGAGAATGTCTTCTTTTCTGTCTCTTCCTCTGTCTTCAAACTGAATCCTCTGGAAAATCTTCCTACAGTTTTTGTTATAGGGTCCTAATTCTTGAGTGGCAGCAGAACAAATACTTTTCCTCTTTTTTCCTCTTTTTTCACCTTCATCATTATACCAGCATCTCTTCCACATGAGTCCTTCCTTCCTTAATTTTTTTCCTCCCAAATGGAACAGGTATTACTTGTTAGTGGTTAAGGCTGTGGATGCTGATGCTGAACTCCTGTTTTCAAATTTCTATTCCACCACTTACTTGCATTGTAACTTTAGAAAACTTACTTCATCTCTCTATGCCTCAGTTTCCCCTGTTACATGGGAATAAGACTTCCTAGGTTTGTTAAGAGGATGCAGTGAGTTAATACATGCAAAGCACTTTGAGTTGTGCTTTGCATTATAAAGTCTTCAATAAATATTAATGGCTATTATAGGCCTAGACCTATCTGATGTCTCTGATGGCCAAGGTCAGGCATCATCTATGAATTTAAGGATCATCCTATACACTCTCCTTATTTATACATGTAAGATAAATATTATTTTCAGATTAAACATGTTATGGAACTAAGATAAATAGTTGTAATACTTTAGAAAAAGTTAGCAAAGAACTAAAATGTGGGTGTATTTTGATGCTTATCACAGATCACTTTTATCTCTTCAATTTCCAGGCCATAGACTCTGATATCAGAATTGTTTCACACAACTAAGGCACATGGCTATTTCTCACTGCCAGGTAGGCCAATAACTAGAAAAAGACACCAAGAAGGAAAAAGACACCAAGAAGGAAAAGGGATTTAAAACTTAAAGGACAGGGCATAAAACAAACATCTAACTGATAAGAACAGAAACAAAAGGGTGTTTAAACTAAAGATAAAATGAAATGTTAAGAGTTTTGGGCTTCAGCCACATGAAGTCATGGAGCTTTAATTCTTGATGGGCAGCCTGACAAGACATTAAATGAAATTCCAGAAATCTGGGCTTTCTGCCAAAAAGGATTTAGAACTGGAGATTTCTGATTCAGCACTGCCTTCCTAGGGAAGAAGAACACTGAGACCCATGTATTTACTTCAAGGGGCCATACAAGGTCCTTTGCCTCACTTTGAGGTGAGAAACAAGGGAAAACTAGATGCCACATGATGTAGAGGAAAGTGCTTCTGATCTTGGCCAGCCCTGGGTTTAATGCTTTTCCAAGGTCACATTGGTAAGAATTGCTAACTTGGCAAAGCCTCAGTTTCCTCATCAACAGAACAGAAAATTTAATTTTGCTGATAAAGATATGAGATGGAAAGAGGGCTGAATTATCCATTAGATACTATAGGCAGAGTGCCTACCGCCTATATTTTCAAGGGCCATTTAAGATGTTTGAGATATAAAATATTTTTTTCTCTTAAGTTCTAAATTGAAATGCTGGAAAATTAAAATTGAGAGTGATTTTGAGACCACAGTTATAAAAGTCCTTTCAATCTCTTAAGTGCCACAAATTATACAATGTCGAATGTGGGTCCATTTTAATAAGTATAAAATGATATCATGTGGAGTATCCAGAATTAACAGGCTTAGGTAGAGGTCTGGATAATAAATAGTAGGGTGTTTGGAATGTGTTAGGTACTGAATTAATGTTAATTCTTTTTCACTCTTTTTTCTCCCCTGAAAGTCTTTTGAAATCTGGAAGGAGGTACGAGGTCACATGACTGAAGTCAAATGTTATACAGGTAGTCAGTATGATATTGGGCATGATGTAATTAAAATTTTATTTTTACTATTTTTTTATTTTATTATATGCTTACCATGTGCCAAGCACTCTTCTAACTCACCTATACATTCAATTCTCACAATAACCCAGTGCAATAGATAAAGCTGTTATCCCAATTTTATGATAGAGGAGATTCTAGGCAATTTGCAAAAGTGACACAGCAGTGGAGCCAGGATTTGAACACAAAGATTTTTACTGTGGAGCCCAACTTCATCTACTAAATGGTAGTGCATTTTGGACACAGGATATCTGGATAGATTACAAGATTATTCAGTAGATATGCACTACCACAATGCTTTGCTTATGTGTATCCTTCAGTTTTGGATTCAAGGAGAAAGCAAATATCTGAAATTAAAAACATTCTCTCTCATTGCCACAGCATTCAGGATGTTGGGTATAGGTAGAATTTGAAATCTTACAAACACAGGACACAGGGCTGGGATTAGAACAGTAGTTTCTTATGTTTGCCAATATGGGGATGCTCATGTAAACTTCCCAAACTTCATATACCTTCCTGTCATAGTGATACTTTTATTAAGTATAATCTGAAAAAAATACATAAGAGAATGGATCCAAGTAGCAAATGTGTTTCATTTATGCAGTTTATCATGGACAGTGCTGAGAGCAAGTGTAAATTCTTGGAACCTTGTAATAATTCTGTGCCCTCTAAGAAGTTATGGTGAAATAATGAACTGCGATATCATACAGATAGTCCCATTAGCCAGGTAGGGGAGCATGTAGAATTTTGCTGATTATTTAAAAGCAATAAAATTTCTTTGTTATTGTTTTCTGAACGAATTACAAAAAGGCTCAAAGTTATTAGTGAAATGAGCACATAAGCAAAAACTACGCACTTAAAAGAAGATGATTGCTAAAGTGAGAAAAAGTATTCCTGTATAAATGGGATATGCTTTATCTGGAAAATGAAGAAAATCCACTGAACATATTGGAGGCTCTTATGAACATTACAATTTGTTGCTTGTTTCTTAAATGAGTCAGGAGCTAGAGGAGAGGTTTGTCTCAGAACTGACTATATATTCTACATAGTTTCTAAATTTTAACACGTTTAACTATAAAAGATTCCTATTTCAAATTGTATATTCAGTAATTCCCAACTAATTTATTTGCTTACTTATGAAGTCTGGAGTTAAAGAACTTCAATGTAATTTGCTAAAATGTTTCTTCTTCCTTAAAAAGGTTCATGCCATTTTTTAGAAATTCAACACTATGATTTATCCTAAGAAAATAATAGGGGATATGCATAAATATTTTAGTGTAAAGATAGTTATAACAGCATTAGTTGTAATAAGCAGTATTTGAAAACACCTGAATGTTTATCAATGGGATATTAATTATTGAGCTATAATATCTTAATGATACAATATTATGCAAGTGCCTAGCCTGTAGTCCATAGAAAAGAGATCCTGGCTGGGCACGGTGGCCCATGCTTGTAATACCATCACTTTGGGAGGCCGAGGCAAGTAGATCACTTAAGTCCATGAATTCGAAACCAGCCTGGGCAACATGGTGAAATCCCATCTCTACAAAAAATACAAAAACCTGTAGTCCCTGCTTCATGGGATGCTGAAGGTGGGAGGATCATTTGAGTCCAGGGGGTGGAGGTTGCAGTAAACCGAGATTGTGCCAATCCTTATTGGAAGGTAAAATTCCCAGGAAGCAAGCGTGAGGCAAAAGGAGTGAGTCAAAGGATGAGAAGCAAGTGCAAAGTGGTATGTTGCTGTACTAACCACTGTTTTCCTTCAGGCACGTTGTAGTGGGAAACTGCCTTAGAACAGGTCATCTGAAAAAAGACTTGAGAAAGAATTTACTTCTTGGCTCCAATCTGTCTCCTGTTTACCCCAATCAAAGTTCATCCTTCAGGGAGTTAACTCCCTCACACTTCTGGGTGTTATCCCTGGCTCTTTATTCAACCAATAGGGAAGCCAGATTCCATGTACTGGTTGTGCTTCATTCAAGTTTGGAAATGGTGAGAGGAGCCAGAGACTCTGGGTTTTTAGCTGGTTGGTTCCTGTAAAATCATTTACCAATGCAGTGGCTGAAGATGAGCAGAGAAGTGAGTGTCAGGAGACATTTGTGGCTGAGGGTATTTGGTGAGGCATGTAAGACATGCCCACTAAAAGATGTAAAACCAAATTAAAAATAAAACATTGACACATTCTTAATATAATGGTAAAAAAAGAGGCTTAAATGTATATGCAATTTGATACTGTTTTTTATAACTCTACACACACACTTATGTGGAGAGAAAGACTGAAGAGAATATTAAGAAGTCATACAACAAAACTTAATATCCAATTATCTTTAGAAGATAGATTCAAAACTGAACGTTGGGAGGTTTATTTCAGTGGGATTTTTCTGTGATTTTCAAGTCTGTGTTGAACATAAATCACTTTTTGCTATAAAAATATAGTTGTAAGGAGAGACTTATCTATAAAGTAATTCAATGTGTAATGTTACTTATAATAATAACAAAATCGAATGCACAACATGGATGGAACTGGGGGACATTATGTTAAGTGAAATAAGCCTGCCACAGAAAGACAAACTTCACGTTTTCATTTATTTATGGGAGCTAAATATTGAAACAATTGAATGTATGGAGATAAGGAGTAGAATGATGGTTACCAGAGCCTGGGAAGGGAAGTGTGTTGGGAGGGAAGTGGGGATGGTTAATAAATATATAACATAGTTAGATAAAATGAATAAAATCTAGTATTTGATAGCACAACAGGGTGACTACAGTCAACAATAATCTATTATGAATTTAAAAATAACTGATAAAGTATAATTGGAATGTTTGCAACACAAAGAAATGATAAGTGCTTGAGGTGATATATTTTTTAAAAAGAAAACAGCATGGTAGCCACAATAATAAAGATGAAAACCTACTGATTCAATAAAAACATTTAGGGTGAAGAGGAGAAAGATGGAATAATAGCATTATCCAGCCCTCATACCCCCTGCAGAATCAGTAATTAAAACAACTATCCACATGTGAAAATACCTTCACAGGAGCTGAAGACACCAGGTGAGAGCACCTGGATATAGCACAGAAAAAAGAAAAGATGCATTGAAGAGGGTAGGAAGGCAGTTTTACATTGTTGCCCCTTCCCCAACCCCAGAAAACACAGCATGGAGAGAAAGACCCTCCATGTGGGGGAAGGAGAGGAAAGTGGGCATTAGACTTTACCTCAGACACTAAAACCAGGCCCACCCCAGTGGGCCAGGTAGAACCCAGTGCCAGGTAGACCCCCATAAAACCCAGTGCCAGGTAGACCCCCATAGCCCTAAACTCCAGGCCAATACCTATGGACTGAACCTCTGTGCTCACCTCATGCCAGGCTAGGTTCTGTAGCCTCAGGCTCCAGGTCTTTGTGGTGGACTCAGTCTCCAGACCATCCCACTGCTAGGTCAATCTCAATGGCTTCATGCTTCAACTTGTCCTTAGGTCTTGACTGGCTCCAGTGGACTCATATCTAGGCTGCCACCACCAGCAGACCAACCCCAGTGGCTCTAGGCTCTGGAACACCTCCAACACCAGGCTGTCCCAGGTTCCAGGTTTCAGCCTTGTCCCAGCACCAGGCCAATCCTAGTCATCCTAGTCATGAGGCTAACACCCATGGACCCAGCTTGCCGGGAGCTCCTGTGGATACAGACTCCAGGCCCACCCACTACTGGGACAGCCCCTGCAGGCCCAGCTTTCAAGCTCATCTGAGGACCAGGTCAGCCCTCCTTGCCTCAAGGACTAGGCATGTACCCATGCATATAGCTTTTAGGATTGCCCAGTGCCAGGCTGGGCTCTGTGGCAGGGTCCAGGCCAATCCCAGGGTCCATGTCTGTTACAGTAGGACCTATTGTTAGATCCAGGGTCCAGGCTTGTCACAATAGGATGGATTGTTAGACTGGTAGTCACCACATACACTGCACCAGGTGCCAGGCCTGCCTATCTGCCGACCCAGGCACCAGGCCAGCCTGCCTGAGGACTTCAGAAGCAAGCCCACCTAAGGACCAGGCCAAGTAGCCTGCTCAGAATCTGTGGACAGGCTGACTGGTGAAGGAATTTCCCAGAAAAAGCTAGTCTGCAAAGACTCTTATAAGTCTCTACTTGTTCAAATGTGCAAACACCAACTAAAGGCAATAAGAAACATAAAAAATGAAAAAGACATAACAGTACCAAAAGAACACGATAGTCTCCCAGTAATGAACTCCAAAGAAATAGAGATATATAAACTGCCTGACAAAGAATTCACAATAATTGTATTAAGGAAGGTCAGCAAACTCCAAGAAAATACAAAGAAACAATATAGTGAAATTAGGAAAACAATAAATGACCAAAAGTGGCAATTTATCAGAGAGATTAAAATAATTAGAAAATGAAACAAAAATACTAGAGCTAAAGTATACAATGAATGAAATAAAAAATTGTAGTAGACAGCATCAACAACAGAATTGACCAGGCAGAAGAAAGAATATGTGGACTCGAAGACAAGTTATTAAAAAATATATAGTGAGTAGGAAAAAGATGAAAAGAAGTAAAGAGTGTTTGCAGAATTTATAGGACAGCGTGGAAAGGGCAAATATTTGAATCATGGGAGTTCAAGAAGAAGAAGGAAAAGACAGAGTAGAAAGCTTATTTTAAAAAATAATAGCATAAACTTTTCAAGTCTGTGGAGTAAAAGAGTAAAGGTTTTTTAATGCAATTAAAATTTAGTTGTTGTAGACTTAAAATAGCCTGTTATAACTATAAGATTTGTTTTTGTAAGCCTCATGGTAACCACAAAGCAAAAATTTATGGTAGATACACAAAAGATAAAGAGTAAGAAATCCATACATACCACTAGGAAAAAGTCTTCTAAACACAAAGGAAGACAGGAAGGGAGGAAGAAGGTAACAAAGAACCTATAAAACCACCCAAAAACAATCAGAAAAAAATTAACAAAATGATAGTAGTAAGTTCATACCTATTGACAACTACCATGAGTGTAAATGTATTAAATTCTCCAATTAAAAGACATAGATTGACTGAATGGATAGAAAAATAGACCCAACTCTATGCTGCCTACGAAAGATTCACTTCATCTGTAAGGATATACTTACACTGAAAGTGAAGAGATGGAAAAAAGTATTCCATGAAAATGAAACCAAAAGAGAGCAGGAATAGCCACATTTATACCAGATAAAATAGACAAGTCAAAAACTGTAAACTGAGACATACAAGTTTATCATATAATGACAAAGGGGTTAGATCGTCAAGAGACTGTAACTATTATAAATGTATGTGCACCCAACATAGAAACACCTAAAGTAAGTATTAATAGAACTTAAGGTAAAAAGACTGGAATATAATAATAGTAGGAGACTGAAATGCCACACTTGCAGCAATGGAAAGATCATACAGATAGATAATCAGTAAGAAAACATTGAAATTAAACTACCAATAGACAAAATGGACCTAACAAATACAGAGCATTCTATCTAACAGCAGCAAAATACACATTCTTCTCAAGTGCACATGAAACATTCTCCAGGGTAGATTATATATCAGGCCACAATACAAGTTGTAAATTTAAGAAGATTGAAATTATACCAAGTGTCTTTCAGTCACAATGTTCTAAAACTAGAAATTAGTGAAGGAGAAGTTGTGAAAAATTTTCAAAGATGTGGGAATTTAACATGTTCCTGAACAACCAATGGGTCGATGAAGAAATTAAAAGGGAAATTTAAAAAATTGAGACAAACAAAAATTTAAACACAACATATCATGAGTAGTTCTAAGAGAAAAGCTTATGGTAATAAATGCCTACATCATAAACAAGAAAGAATTCAAATAAACAACCTAACATTATACCTCAAGGAGCTAGCAAAAGAAGAAGGTTAGCAAATAAAAGGGAATAACAAAGATTAGAGCAGAAATAAATGAAATATACTAGAAAAACAACAGAAATGATTAACAAGATAAAGAGTTGGTTTTTTGAAAAGATGAATAAAATTGACAAAATTGACAAACCTTAGCTGAATTGAGAAAAAAAGACTCAAGGAATTGAAATCAGAAATGAAAAAGAAGACATTAAACGGATACTGCAGAGATGCAAAGGATAATAAGAGACTACTTTAAAAATTTTATGCCAACAAATTGGATATCCTAGAAGAAATGAGTAAATTTCTAGACACATACAACTTACCAAGAGTAAATCATAAAGAAATAGAAAATCATAGCAGATCAATATGAAGTAAGGAGACTGAATCCCTAATAAAAAGTCTGTCATCAAAGAAAAGCCAAAGACCTTATGGCTTCACTGTTGAATTTTACCAAACATTTAAAGAATAACTAATACCACTTTTTTCTCAAATTCTTCCAAAACACTGAAGAAGAGAAAACACCTTTGAACCCATTTTATAAAGCCAGCATTATCCTGACACCAAAGCCAGACAAAGGCATTATGAGAAAAGAAAATTATAGGCCATTATCTCTGATGAACATAAATGCAAAAATTCTTAACAAAATGCTAGCAAAACTAACTCAACAGCGCATTAAAAGGATCATTCACTATGAGCAAGTGGAATTTATTTTAGGGACTCAAGTATGGTTCAACTTATGCAAAACTATAATACAACATTAACGGAATGAAGGAAAACCAGTAGCATTTCTATACACCAATAGCAAATTATATGAAAAAGAAATTTAAAAAAAATCCCACTTACAATAGGCACGAAACATAAAACACTTAAGAATAAATTTAAGGAGGTAAAAGATGTTTACATTAAAAAGTATAAAACACTGATGAAAAATGGAGGGAAATGCAAATAAATAGATATCCCATGTTTATCAATTAGAAAAATTAATATTGTTAAAATGTTCATATTACTCAAAGCAATCTACAGTTTCAATGTGCTCCTTATCAAAATACCAATAGCATTCTCCACATAAATAGAAAAAACAATCCTAAAATTCATATGGAACCACAAAAGACTCTGATTAACACAGCAATCTTGAGCAAAAAGAACAAAGCTAGAGGTATCACATTACCTGATTTTAAATATCCTACAAAACTATCATAACCAAAACTGCATAGCACTGGCATAAAAATAGTCAGATAGATTAGTGGAGCAAAATAAGGAGCCCAGAAATTAATACATGCATTTGCAATCAACTAATTTTTAACAAAGATACAAAGAACACTCAATGGAGGAAGGGCAGCCTTTTAAATAAATGGTGTTTGGAAAAATGGATAGGCACGTGTAGAAGAATGAAATTAGATCCTTATCGCATGCCCTAAACAAAAATCAACTTAAAATGGATTAAGACTTCAATGTAAGACCCCCAAACTATGAAACTACTAGAAGAAGGAAAGCTGAGATTCGTCTGGCTAATAATTTTTTAGGTATGACCTCAGAAGCACAAAGAACAAAAACAAAACTAAACAATTGAGATTACATTAAACTAGAATGTTTCTGCATGCCAAAGCAAGCAATCATAGAGTGAAGAAAGAACCTACAGAATGGGAGAAAATATTTGCAAACCAAACATTTGATAAGTGGTTAATATCCAAAATATAAGGAATTGAAACAACTCAATAAGTAGATAATTTATTATAAGAAAGAAACGTAAGAAGTAATTATAAGAATTAATTATAAAATTATAGGAAATAATTATAAGAAAGAAGAAAATAAATAACCCAATTAAAAATGGTCAAAAGATGTGAGTAAACATTTCTCAATAGAAGACATACAAATGGCCAACAGGTATATTAAATCGTGCTCAACATCACCAACATAGAAATGCAAATTAAAACCGCAATGAAATATCACCTCATTCTTGTTAGTATGGCTATTATCAAAAAGACGAAACAGTATTGGCAAGGATGTAGACTAAATGGAACTCTTCTTTGCACATTGTTGGTGTAAATGTAAATTAATACAGCCATTATATAAGATATAATGGAGGTTCTTCAAAAAATTAGAAATGGAGCTACCATATGATCCAGCAATCCCTATGCTGTGCATATATTCAAAGGAAATGAAATCAGTATGTCAAATGTATTTGTGATATGTGACATTGCAAGAGGAGTTTAATTAGAGTGTTCACAGAAACTTAGGTGATAACGAGATTATTGAGCTAAACTTTGTAGGAGGCAAAAGAGTTCTCTAGGTAAAGAAGAAGCTGGACTGGTACAATTGTGCCTGGACTGAAGGATTATTAATATTGTGACCAGAATGGGAAGGAATTACAAAGAATGAGAAAACAAAAATACCTACCATTAAATATCATCAAGGGCTGTAACTATAATAGAAAAGAGATTACAAATCTATGCCTGATTTATACACACACTTTCTTTCTCTCTCTCTCTCTCTCTGTTAATAAATTTGAAAGTCTGTATATATTTCATGACTTTCTAGGCTAATAAAGTGTCTCACACTTGATTCAATAATTCAAAAAGGGGTAAAAATATGAATAGATTAATAACCTCAAAAGTAATTGAAAGGGATTTTTAAAGCTCCTAAAAGAGATAACAGTCCCAACAAATTTCATAGACAAATTCATTGTCATTAAAGGATAAATATTTAAACTGCTCTAAATTAGAAATATTTTAGAATGTGCTCTGTGAAAGATGCCTAATACATCAGGTGAAACCTAACAAAAACAGCAAAACAAATAATAATCTCACTTATGATGGTGCAGCAAAAAAAAATTTCTTGAAGACGTAAATTACATTCGGTTATATTTTAAAATAATACATTTGTTTAAAGAACAATCCACTACAATGAAGCAGGTCATATTCTGGGAATATAAGAAAGGTTAAATATCATGGAATTTATTAATATAATTAATTTTCTTGCAAGGATGAAAAATAATATTATTTCTTTGATCCCTAAATCATATTGCATTTCACTCTCTTCTCATTCTCTTAGCCTTCCAGGAATATCTCTTACACCTTTTGTTTCAAAGATACAGAATTTGCTCTTTTCACCTCAGGCTTACTATAATATATCCTTCAGTCTATTTCTTGTCACTTATTCACTTCAGGATATACTATTTTCTTCTCTCCTTTTGCATTCCACGAGTTATATTTTAGCATAAAAATAAAACAGATATTGATATTAGGAGGCAATTAGTAGTTTCTGCCACAGTACTTGTGATGTGCTACGTGATGCCGAAATGAAGAAGACACAAAAGGAGAATGGGCCTTTGTAACCTGAGTGGCCAAATGTGTGGTAGGGAAGAGAAGACTTTGCAGGTGATGCTTTAACTGGAGCTTTGGCTGAGCACAGTGGCCACATCTGTAATGCCAGTGCTTCCAGACTTTGTTGAGGCAGGAACATCACTTGAGGCCAGGAGTTCAAGACCAGCCTGGGCAACATAGCAAGACTTCTATCTCTTAAAAAAAAAATAAAAAAAAAATTAGCTGGGTGTGGTGGCGCTCGCCTGTTAAGTCCAAGCTACTCCAGAGGTTGTGGTGGGAGAATTGCTTGATCTCAGGAGTTCAAGGCTACAGTGAGCTATGCCTGGGACACAGAGCAAGACTCTGTCTGTAAAACAAACAAACAAAAAAAGGGTGGACATTTACTGGGAAAAGCGTTAGTGGATCAGGGAAGCACGTGATTGGGCACCTAGGCATGAAACTGCACAACCATTTGGATTTAGAAACAAATCACTGAAGTGTGGCAATGAACGGGAATGAGAAGGAAAAGAGTAAAGTGTTTTAGTTAAGGGGCATGGTGAATACAAAATCCTATGTAGGTTGAGACGTAGGGATGAGCAGAGAAGGAGCTATTGATGCTGGAGAATGGTGACCCAGGACGGCTTGAGAGGCATTCTCAGCAGGTGGGTAAAGGACTGTCTCTTCTTCTGCAAGAGATTTTCATTAGATTGAGGTGAAGTGTGTGGAAATTGAGGTAATGCCCACCAGTTATTTTCATTTTCTTGTTAAACCTTGTAAAGTACTGGTTACCCTTTAAATTTTAAAAGACATTGGTATCTTGCAGTGACTTGGAGTTGAGAGCTGTGAGTATCCATGTTCATATCTGGTTATGAGATTGCTAGACAATAGACCATTTAAAATATCAATACTTTCCTTTTTCTAATGACAATGCTTTAATGAGAAAATTAGTTCTCATGTGTATTAGCTGTCTGATGAATCACTATGCAAATGTGCCTACTATTTAAAATACCCAATGTATTTGATTCATTAAAAAATGATAAGCAGCAGATATTCATTTTAATAGTTCCAAGAGCAGTGCAATACACAAATCTCTCCTTTAAAGGTAGAAAACATGATGCCAATGTTGTTTCTTCCTCTTCCCAGTAATTTTTGAACTTTTCTACCCTGAGGAGGAAGATAAGGCTCATTTTTTTTTTTCATGAAGACAACAGTGCTAGTGCAGTACTAGTGTAGGTAACCCAGTCATTTGAAGCTGGCAATTAAATTATCCTTGAATAAATCTCCTAACACGAATCGACCTGGAAGACAGCTTAATGCTTGAGGGGTAAACAGGAGTATTTGTATGTAACTACAGTACTTTAGTTGTGTTTGTACTTTATCTAGAATGAGTTCTTAGCAACTCCTATCTCCTTCCTCTGTCCCTTATCTGCAGGCTTTACTTATATTCAAAAAGCATCAGCAAGAGGTAAGCTATGTAAAGAGGCCTAAAACCACATTTGTACCACCTTGTGCCCCATGAATTGAGAAGGATTAACCTAAGTAAGAACACATTGCATACATGATAAGGATTTTTGTAAAAAGGAGCTGACAATCTGCTAATTCATTTTTAGTATCTACTATGTAATTCATGTGGCTTTTGTGTATTGTTAATTGAATTACAGGGTAAGGAATATCTATATATCAGATACACATAGACGCCAGGAAGGGGGTAAAAATGAGTTTTTCACTTCTTATTCCAAGACTAGCAGTTATATTTGAATTATGAATAGCAGATAAAATTCATTTTCCAAAAAGCTTAAAATAAATATAGCTGGAAATATAAAATCAGCAGAGATCTCAGTTTGGAGATAAACTGGGCAGCGATGTCAAGCATATGGAGGACAAATCATCCGGTATTTCTTTGAGATGGTACTATTTTCCAGTAACAAAATAGCTACAGTATTCAGCATTGACTAAGGACATTGCTGTTTTACGGTGGTAATGAATCATTCAAGCTAAGGAGAATTCAGGTATGTAAGTCACATCTGCTGTTACGTGGACCTCATCAACCTAGCTCAGATGCTTCCTGCTTTCCTGGAAAGGCCTCTTTGGCCAGGGATGGTTTTAGCTTCTTTTCACTTGTCTCTGGGTACACAATCACATAACAAGGAGTGGGAGAAGGTGTCCACCTACCAGTGTGATTTCTGGAAGGGAAGCTTAGAAATTCCCCTCTTCCATCGCAAAATAAAGATATGAATTTCTCTCTCATCCAATTGCTGAGGCTGAAGTTCAATCACTAGGCTTCATGCTGTGGCTTGGGCTCTGCTTATGAGTTAAAAGGAAATCTTTAAGGAGAAATCATCAGTCATGTAAACACTGTTGTGCAAATGCTGGTTAAATTATATCCCCAAATTAAATGTTAATAGGAGGAAATAATAGAAAGAAATGGAGGATTTGGGCAGGCTGAGGCAAAGGGGGCTTTAGAAAAAAAGGAAGATAGGATAAAGCAACCACAATAATAATGTCTGTTTATTATTCAGCAGGCATTGTTCCAGTTTCTTTATACATTTTATCTCATTTAATCCTTAATGAACCCTGACTATAAGCAATTCCTTATATCCATATTATATATGATGCAACCAGAGCTCATAAACGTTAAGTAACATGCCTAAATTTAGTCAACATATGAGTGGTGGAATTGAAATATGAACTAGCGTTTACCACTCCTGGACATGGACACTGAACCACTGTGCTGCCTGGAAACTTTGACGAGGTCCGTCTCTGTTGGGATCTGCCATACTTCTCAACCATCCTGTCTATATTGTCACCAGAAGCTCTGCCCAGGTCACCAAGAACAGCAACAAGGACAATACTTCCAGTTGCAGTTTTATCCCTAGCTATGTGTGCTCTTGAGCAGATCACTCCACTTCTTTTGTCCAATTTCTTCAACTATAAAATCACAGAGTGGGATGTGATGAGTGGTACTCCTTTTTGAGAGTCAAAACCCTCCAATCATGTACTGTCTCTCCTCACGTAAATGAACCATCAGATAAAATTTTGCCTATTTCGCATTCTTGTTGACTTCCTAAAATTTGGGTCAGCCTAGGCATCTCGTTAGATAAAATGTCAAACAATAGAAAAGTGTGAATTTTATGAGATTAAGGGATGCTAAGTGTCTATATTTTTGTAAGATAGTATTTTGTAAACTATTTTATGAAGGATAGTATTAATTATTTATCATTGAGGGATACTTATAAGTGGGTAAAAATAATTATTATGTAATGCTCAGTCTTCTCCAGTAACTATTCTTTAGTAATAATGATGATTAGTAGTAATAATAATAGTAATAATTAAGGCTATCTTACTGAACACTTTAAACACTGTGCTAAATGATTTGCATGTATCATCTTATTTAATCTTTGCAAAATTTATATTATAGAAGTACTGTTATTATCACCATTTTGCTCAGAGAAGCAAATAGGGGGTTCAGAGAAGTTAGAAACATAGACATATTTTCTTAAAAATAAGTCTCTTCAGTTCTATTGCAGTTTAGTTTTTATAATTGTGTTTCTAAATAAGCATATCATAGGATTAAAATGCATTGCTGTCAAGTGAAAAGGATATTATACATCACTTGGAATTATGTTTAACTTTAGTTATCAGCAAACTCAACTTAGAGTGGCTTAAGCAAATAGATATAAAATAAACCTAGTACTCCTAAATGTACCATAAAAACTTCATAGGAATGACAAATGCTATATTTAAGGGAAAAATAATCCGCGAAATCAAATCAAGTGTTTCCTCTACACCCAAAGTTTTTCATTTGGAAGCTTATCAGTTCTGGTTAAATTCTTTTAACTGTCCTTTCATGATATAGGAATTAATCATTTTGAGATTGTCCTTACTACTTTAATGGTGTCAAAATGACCGTTCCTTTTTAAGATGATGGCGACAATAATTTCACTTTTTAATGAATGTATGTCCTTACTTGGCAACATGGTTTGGTGACTTTTTGATCTCTTTCTCTGTCACATTCAAAATTCTGAGAACTTGTATAATTCTATGAGAATTTCTAAGATTCTGTGGTGGGGTGGGGGGAGGGGGGAGGGATAGCATTGGGAGATATACCTAATGCTAGATGACGAGTTAGTGGGTGCAGCGCACCAGCATATCACATGTATACATATGTAACTAACCTGCACAATGTGCACATGTACCCTAAAACTTAAAGTATAATAAAAAAAAATGTAGTAGAGTTGAGTTTGAATGGTAATATCTGTGGTAAGAGTTTATACAATTTTCCTCTAAGTCTGATGCAGGTCATTCTACTTGAATAGTGGAGTCTATAGTAATATCAGCTGATTAACCCTCTTAATCAGACTTGGAGCCTGCTATGTCTCATAAATGAGAGAGTAAACTTAGAAAAATGTTTAAATGCCCTTGTACTTTGGCAAGTTTCAAACTTAAAATATCTATTGGCACGGTTTTCTGAAAAACAACCAAATTATAACAGTGAGTTAGAATTCCATAAGTGTTTTAGTTGAGGACAAAATTGACCACTTTATTGCTACCCGTAAGATTATCCACACAAAATGTATCTATGTCTATGCATATGAAATATGTAAACAAAAAGCAATTATCTGGGTAGTTTAGTAGCTCCTTCTGTCTCACCTTTCTTGTTGAATTAATCTGAAAAATACACTACATTTCAGTATAGATATAAACAATCTCTGTTAATTACCATCAAATCAACCAAATGGGATTTTTCTGTTGAATAAAAAGTAAATAAAAAGATAATGATTAACTCCCAGATATGTATCAAACTTTTAAAACTGAACATTTACCTACATATCATACCAACTATGTTAATTATGACCTGATACAACTTAATCAGCTATGTAGCCCCAGATGTCCAAGTGCTAAAAATGTGTAGACCCTAATGACTTCTAACTTGTTGTGTCTATTCATAAAGTTAAACAAAAATAGAATATTTCAGTTTTCTGAAAATATATTAGAATTTTAAATCGTGGAAGAGAGGACCACTAAATTTATTTTTTCTTTTTCTTCTTTTTTTTCTTCTGCTCAGTTTTAATTTTTTAACAGAAGACCACAAAAAATAGGTGGAACCTTTTAACCCTGAAAATCCTTCCTTGTGAACTGCCGTATCATTAGGGGTATTGAGCATTTGTTCTAGGTAATGACTATTTTTTTTTCTTTTTTAATGAACCCGTGTGTGTGGATGCTCATTAGGATATGACAAAGGGAGCTGAAAACAAAAAGATAAAAATCTTAGCCTGTGGACATTCACAAGCCAGAATCTGTGGGAAATTAATGTCCCTAGGAGCAGCCTTCAATCCATGATGAAAGAAAGTTGGTGAATAAATACTCCAGCTTCTTTCCCTCTGTAAAGGAAATCACCCAGATATGTGTTCTCTGGGTTCATATAATATACTTATTTAATGGACACCTTTAACAGTAACTTATCTTGGAGTGTGACAGGCAAATTTTCTGGGAAAAAATCAATTTCCCTATTTCAGTATTTCTTTTAACAAGGTTTGAAATCGTATATCTTAACACACAATGTTCCCAAGTTCTGTGATTAACATGCAAAGCTGTTAATCTCCTAGGGGTCCCCAGTAAGACTGAGCCCCAGTTGCACAAAATGCTAACTTACTTACTTTCACTCTCCTTCCTAGAAAATTATTTTTGTCCAAATGCTTATACTAGAAATGACCTACTTAAATAACAGAATATTGAAAAACGGTATGGAAAAGTTTGTGGCTTTGCTTTTAAAAGGGTTTATTATATGGTCTTGTCTTGGTTTTCTTCCCTTCATCCTCTTACTTTGGCCGCTCCCTTGCTGTTGCTTTCTAGGAATTACTTTTGGGTCAGTTTCTGGGGAAACACACCTGAAACAGTTTACCTAGGCTCTGAGTTAGTTATTTTTTTCAAAGGAAATCTTATGATCATCTCCGTACAGAAAACACATAGAAGCAGAGCTGTTATAATTGATCGGGTGAGAGATTTGTGTAGAGCTGGAAAGGACACCCTTTCTCAGCCTTTCTTTCTCTTTCCCCATCCCCAAACATCTCAGTAGGAGAAAGACATTTTTGGAAACAGTTTGAGAACCTCTGGACTAAATGTTTTCTGTCACTTAAAAAAGTATCTCACTCTGTCACTGATTTTCTCTACCAAATATTGTATGCTAATGTAGCAGACATTTAGCATATGTAACAGTGGTACATTTATTTACTCTTTTCATGAATATATTATTTCCAAGAATCTGTGTCTGTTGTGACCAATACAATTTTCCAAAAGCAGCTATAACTTGTGCCTACTCCATATGCTATCTATTCCATAACTGGTTGAATTACACATGGAAGAGAATTGACTCAGTTAACCGTGATTCTTTGAATTAAGAGATTGTATAAATCCTAGATAAAGTCAATTCTGTCTGAACTTTTTTTTTTCTAGACTGTGACTTTTCATATAATATACTTATTTAATGGACACACATAACAGTAACTTATCTTGGAGTGTGACAGGCAAATTTTCTGGGAAAAAAAATCAATTTCCCTATTTCAATATTTCTTTTAACAAGGTTTGAAATCATATATCTTAACACAGAATGTTCCCAAGTTCTGTGATTAACATGCAAAGCTGTTTCTTAACAGCTCTCCCTCACTTTTAAAATGACATTGAGAGCTTAGAGGCGCTTGTTCTTAATTTTTAAACGTACTGATTTCATTGTGCCTGACACAAAGCAGAACATCTTTGCCATAATTACTATATAACAGTTATTTTTCACAAAGTTGTAATTTTCCTAAAATTAGCTGAACTGCCTCAATTATGTAAATTGAATTCCGAGACTTTAATGAGTGTATATGCAGGAGCACAATAGACTTTTATAGGGAAATATCAGGAAAAAAAATTCTCCATATAATTTTCGCCTCACTTTTCATGAGACCAGGAAAAAGACTTCTACTGTTAGTGAACACATCCTCTTGTGGACAGCTGGTTGGTTGGATCCTTTCTCTGCCTTGTGCAATAAAGGAGATCGACCCAAAGCATCTAAGATTAGAATCCCACAGTTAGAAGGAAGCTCAAAGAGAGTTATGGGCCCCGGATGACCTCCATGCTACCTTTAGGCAAGGTTAGGCTGTATCTTCATGTTGTATTTCCCCTCAGCAGAATATCCTCTTTCTCCTCACCACAAACAGATGCTTCTCAACTCGTGATGGAATTATGTCTTGATAAACCCACTGTAAGTTGAAAATGTCTTAAGTTAGTCACTTAATACAACTAACCTACTGAACTTTATAGCTTAGCCTAGCCTACCTTAACTCAGAACACTTATATTAACCCACAGTTGGGCAAAATTATCTAACACAAATTGAATACCGTACTGAAAGTGAAGAACAGAATGGTTGTATGGGCATTCAAAATAAGATTTCTACTGAATTGCTTATATGGCTTTCACACCATTGTCAAGTCAAAAAATTGTAAGTAAAACAATTGCAAGTCTCTGCTTTGCTCTGCTTATCTATTGCTGTGTAAGAAACTATGCTCTAAAATGTAGTGTTTTGAAGAATAATTTATTATCTTTCACGGTTCTGTGGTTAGATGGAGTAAGCTGGATGATTCTTGCTTATGATCTCTCATGGAATATGGTCAGAGAAGAGCTGGGGCTGGAATCATCTGTAAGCTTGACCGAGCTGGAAATCCATGATGGCCTTCTCACCCACATATCAGATGCCTTGGTGCTTCTCCTCATAGCCTCTGTCTCCATCAAAGTAGCTTGGACTTTTTTCCTGGCACATTGGAGCTCCAAGAGGAAGAAAGGAGAAACTGCCAGTTCTTTAAAAAAAAAAAAAAGGCCCAGAGCTGGCAAAGCACCACTGCCACCATATGCAGTTGTTCAAAGCACTTGCTGGCCAGCCTGGATTCAAAGGAAGGGGAATGGACCCCTCCTCCCTCATTGAGGGAGGAAGGTCAAAGAATTTGAAGCCCTCTTTAATCTGACACACCCCTCACTGAGCTGTTTGTTCTCTAGGTTTTGCTTGCTTGCTCTCTTTGTTTCTTTTGCTTATTCTTTCTTCCTCTTTGCTGGAAGATAAACTCACTTAAGTTGGCTTATTTCACTGCTTACCATTTTATATTATGTTGGTGCAAAAGTGTGCACCAACTTGTACACCAACCAATATATTTCAAACTCTCAGAGAAATTTTTCAGTTGGTTCCCTTCTGTAGAGGTGGTTACACACATCTCTTTTCTGACCATACCCACTTTTCATTGCTTGGCCTCTCCTCCATGGGAAAAGCTACTGCCTCATCTTCCTGCTTCCCTATCGCCCTGGGCCCTGCTTCTGTAGTCTCCAATACAACAACTTTCCTCCTTTCATTTAGGTGTGGTTACAGTTTCAGAAAGCTGTGCCTTTCACTCTAGCATCCATGATTTTAAGATTATACTACACTAAATAGATGCATGTCTATTCAATAATATTAATAACAGCACCAATTAACATTTATTGAGGGCTTATATGTATCATAAGAGTTATAACAATTCACATGTATATATCATTTAACTCTTTAAAACCACCCTGTGAAGTAAATATTATTAGCTCCTTTTTCAGATGAGGAAAACAAGGAATGGAGAACTCAAGGATTAGCATCTTTAAGTGTATAGACAAATTATTTGTGTTCTCACTAGGTATGTGTGAAAGCTTTTGTTGCCCCACATTCTTCACAACATTGGTGTTGGGGCTGATCAATTTTTGCTAATCTTGAGAGTATGAAATTGCATATTATTGTGCCTTTATTTTCTATTTTTCCAAGTGCTGATGAGGTTACATGTCTTTTCATACAATTGTTTGACCATGCTTGATTTCTCATCTAGAAAATGGCTGTTTATGTCTTTGTCCATTTTCCTATTAAAGTTGTTTTCTTATTGATTAATTGGAGTTCTTTATATATTCTTGATACTAATCCTTTTTAAAAAAATGTAGTTATTATATATGTTGCCAATATTTTCTTTCAAAGTGTGGCTTTTCTTTTCACTCTCTGTTTGGTGTTTTCTGATGAACAGATTCTTAGGATACATTTCTAATTGATTCCTACGTAATTATTGTGTTTTTTTCTTGCTGTTAAATTTAGTGTTTCTTTATTATTAGGTTGTCTACTTGTTTTGCAGATATGTGGAAATTCAATTGAATTTTAACTTTTAATCTTATGCCAAGAAATATTCCTAGTCTCTGTATACACATATGCATACACACACATTGAAGGTGCTTGATATATTTGTGTGAATATTTCACCTGGGAATAATGGAGATTTGCTTCTTTTAAAATCTTTACATCATTTATTTATCCATTTCCCCTAATTGCATTACAAGGCACACAAGAAGGGCATATAAGAGAGGTGATAGTGAGTATTCTTGTATTTTCACCATAGAAGAGAGTGTTTTATTACATTTCATCATTATATTGCTTTCTAAAGAATTAATTTTAAGTTCCTTCATAATTTTTCTTTCTATGAATGAATAGATTTTTTAGTTTTATTTAATGATTTTTCTACACATGTATTGAGAACATTACATGATTTTTCTCCCTAAATTTTCTATTGTGGTAAAGCATGTGAAAATATTCCCAGCATTGTATCCACCTTACATTTCTGGAATAAAATCAAGTTGGTCATGATGCCTTACTTTTTAATTTACATTGCTCGATTTGTCTTGCTAATATTTTCGTATTTATTGCATCTACATTTATGAGTGAGATTGGCTAAATTTTTCATTCTAATGTATTATCGAGTTTGGTGTCAAGACTATATGTAGTTTATAAAATGATTTGAGCATTGTTAATTTTATTTTCTGGAAGAGTTTATATAAAATTAGAATCATCCTTGAATATTTGGTAGAATTATCATGTAAAAATCTTTGAGCCTGGAGTTTCCTTTGTGAAAAGATTTTTTAATAGGAAACTAAATTTATTTAATGTATATGGGACTATTTAAACATTTTATTTATTCTTGAATCAATTTTAGTATGTAGTATTTTTTTCTAAGAATTTACCATTTTGTATATGTTTTCAGGGTTTTTGCATAAAGTTGTATGTAATATAATGTAATCTCAATATCTGCTGTATGTATAGTTAGGTTCCCTGTTAATTTTCACTATTGCTTAGTTTTCTTTTAGTCTTAATTAGTCTTGTCAGTTTGGTTTTTCTTTATAATGTATGATTTTTAAAATTTAAATTATTTTTGATTTTATTACTTTTTCTACTTCATTCTTTGGAGATTTTTTAACTTTTTAATATGGAAATTTAACTCATGAATGTTTAACTTTTTCTCTTCTCTGGAATAATTATTGAGGGTCATGCATTTCCCTTTAACTTTGTTGTACTAGTGGCATCTTAGAATTTTTTATATGAGCCCTTTTTTATCATTCAGTTCAAATTTAATTAGTAAATTTTAAAAAATTTGAGTTACTTATAATACACTTTAAAAATAGAACTGTTTAATTTTTCAATGATTTATTATCCCTTTTATTGTAAAATTACAATGATTTAAAAAGCCATGTTAAAAATATGTAACTTAATAAAATAAAAGGCCAACACACTTTAAATCACCAACCAGATCAAGAAATAGCACTCTGTCAGTCACCCAAGTCCCTCCATGTGCCTTTCCTCTTCCCCAAATGACCATTACCTTTTTATTAGTTATTTCCTTGTATTTTTTTTATAGTTTAAGCAACCCAGTTTGCAATACTAGACCATAATCTTGCCCATTTTATTAATTTACAGCTTCCTCTTCCTTCCCTTTCTTTTTGTTACATTTTGTCTGTTATAGACCATGACTCATTTATCACAGTTAGAGTTTTCTCAATACATATTCTTGGTTCAGTATGCTAACAGTACATTCATGATTCTCCATTTTCTGTGTTTCCTGAAAATATGCAGCTGGATAAAGCTGTAAATAAGCAAATACCATTCTTTCTGTATTTATCGCTGGAACACATGTACCATATTTTTTTGAAATGAGGAAAGTTTGGACTAGCTAGCTATTAGATAGCCTCATTATTCGATATATTGCTAATTCTGCTTTTTTTTTTTTTTTTTTTTTTTTTGGACAGAGTCTCACTCTGTTGCCAGCCTGGAGTGCATCTTGGCTCACTGCGACGTCTGCCTCCTGGGTTGAAGCAATTCCCTTGCTTTAGCCTCCTGAGTAGCTGGGACTACAGGCACGGGCCACCACACCCAGCTAATTTTTGTACTTTTAGTAGAGATGGGGTTTCAGCATGTTGGCCAGGATGGTCTCGATCTCTTGACCTCATGATCTGCCCATCTCGGCCTCCCAAAGTGCTGGGATTGCTGCTTTTTAAATAAAATAACCAGCAAAATGTTACAAGTTTTCCTCTCCTTGGCTGTTAGTTGGTGTAATTGCCAGTAGATACATTTTTAAATTCTTCCATATAAAAAAAATTACATCAATAATAAATGTAAAAAAAAGTCTATGACTTTTAACTCCTAACAATTTTAGGGAGTGAAGGACATGTGAAATGTCTCTTAGATGACTTTAGATCTCCTAGACAGGTCTTGTTGATTTCACCCTTGGAAAAATGCTTCCTTTCTTCCATTAAAAAGCTGTCACTGAACAGACTCTTCCTCTAGTAGCTGCGTAAGCTTCACATGGCAAAAAGTCTTGTGTTCCTTGACTTGGTAAAGTTAAAGAATAAGAAGCCATATTCTTTTCTTTCCTATATCAGAAGAGACCTTTAAGATAATGATCTCCCCTTTAATATCTCACATATGTATTAAGAGAAAACCCAATAGATCTTTGACTATTTGTAAACTTTATAAACCATATACAGTTAGTAACAAAACAGATAGATGGTATTAGCAGCCCAGGGTATCCACCTAACCCTGTTGTGAGGGCATAACATATTCCTTCTAATGCTGCTTTTATCTGGTGAAAATTTTTGGTAATTCTGAAGGAGTTAATTGGAATTGTAAGAAAACAAGAGTTCAGAGAATCTTTTGATTACCTGGTTCAGCCTCTTCAATTTAGGCAATTAAAATGGCATCTTCAATTTTGGGGCTTCATTTTTCTTTTAACTTTTCTCTAATATTTTGGAAAGAACTATAAATGAATAGAAAAATATTATGCAGATGAGAAGCAAAATCATTCTGGTTAAAGTTCTCCATGGGAACAATTTAGAAATTGGAAATCAGGCAATAAATATTTTGGTAATGGTAGAAAATCAGTTTTATAGTGATGTCTGATGAGACCCTGGAACTTTTAATTTTTCTTAGTTCTGGGTTCTTCCATGAATTCATCACTATTCTTCAGGTTGAAAATTATTTAGAAATAGAACTTAGGAATAGACTTGTATATTTTGATACTGTTCTTAAACTTTCCAGAAAAACAAGTAAGCTGGGATATGATTATGATTTCTGCTTTCCTCTGTGATTCATATTTTACTCTTTATATGGTTTTACTCTTTAGGACATTGGACCTTTAGAAGAAACTCAGTCAATACCATCTACAGTAGATTAACAAGGAGCACAGACTTTTTGCTTATCCTACTGTTGAAAGATGGTGATTCTCTTTCCCTTGAATCTAAGTTCACCTTAGAGATTTGCTTGATTATAAAATGCTGCCGTGGAATATTCTGGAACTTCTAAGGCTGGTTCATAAGAACTCTTACAGCCTCCATCTGGGTCTTTTGGAACACTGGGCTCTTGAAACCCAGCCATAATACTGTAAGGAAGCCCAACCAGCCCCAGGGAGTGGACCCTGGCCAACAGCCCCACGTGAACTCCCAGCTGACAACTCCCACCAGCTTGACAGCCATGTAAGTGAGCCATCTTGGAAATGTATTCACCAGACCAGCTGGGCTGCTGATGCCTCATGGGATTGAGATGAGCACACCCTGTTAAACTCTGCCCAGAGTATAAAGTTGTGAGACAAAAATGTGATTGTTTTTATTTTAAGCCACCAAATTCTGGGTGATTTGTTATATAGCAATAGGTTACAAAACAGCGTGCATATCCTGGCCTGATTTCTGAGTAAATATAACAATAAAACAAATAAGTCAGAGCAATAGAAACCCAAAATATTATTGTGATTTTCAGTAGTAGCTAAGTGGAGATTTGTCTTAGTTTGAGAGCCAGTGTTAGTTTGCTGAGACCATTGTGTTCTAAGAATTTGGTACTGTAGTATTTAGGGACAAGACCTCCTTATGAAAACCGGAGAGGCATGTTAAAAGCAGTGCCCTCTCATAATGAGTAGCAGTTATAAGCAGCTGTTGAGTTCAGACAAGATTTGTTCTGAAGCCTGGCTCTGCAACTTAATAGGAATGTGTACTTGATCAAGTAACGTAACCTCGCTAAGCTTCAGTTTCCTTATCTATAAAATGGGGATAATAATGGTACCTAATTTATTGGGTCTAACACATAGTTAGGACTCAAAAGAGTGTTTCTATTATTTGCTACTATAGGATGCTAGTAAAGATATTGTTTAACATATGCTTTATGTTAAAGTCATGTGAGATCTAAAGGAGATCTAAAGTTATCTGAGAGTCACATGTCCTTCACTCCCTAAAGCATTAAGACGTGCTTAACATATTAAGCATGTGGAATTCTGAAAGGAAAATTGAGAGTAAAGTACCATAGACCTAGCCTGGTTATTATTATTTATTGGATTCTTGTGAGCATACTTTCGATATAAAAGGTTGTGATCACAATAAAGTCAAGGCTGTCTTTCAGGAGATATGAGTGTGGTGAGGAAATGATGGATTTGTACAGATATTAGTCTACTATTGCCTTGTTATAAAGAAATACCTGAGACTAGGTAATTTATAAAGAAAAGAGGTTTAATTGGCTCATGATTTCACAGGCTGTACAGGAAGCATTATGGCTTCTAGGAAGGCCTTAGGAAACTTTCAATCATGGTAGAAGACTAAGGGGAATCAGGCACGTCTTACTTGGCCTAATCAGGAGGAGGAGAAGAGTTGCGGGAGGTGCTACACATTTTTAGACAATCAGATCTCATGAGAATTCTATCATGAGAAGAGCACCCAGAGGGAAATTTGCCCCCAAGATCTAATGACCTACTACCAGGCCCCACCTCCAACATTGGGGATTACAATTTGACATGAGATTTGGGCTGGGACACAGATCCAAACCATATAATTCTGCCCCAGGCCCTCTAAAATCTAATGCCCTTCTCACAATTGCAAAATTCAATCATGCCTTCCCAATAGTCCCCAAAAGACTTAACTCATTCCAGCATTAACTCAAAAGTCCACAGTCCAAAGTCTCATCTGAGACAAGGCTAGTCCTGCCTATAGCCTGTAAAATAAAAAGCAAGTTGGTTACTCCCAAGATACAATAAGTGTACAGGCGCGCTGGGTAAATATTTCCATTTCAAAAGAGAGCAATCAGCCAAAAGAAAGGGATTACAGGCCCCATGCAAGTCTAAAACCCAGCAAAGTAGTCATTAAACCTTAAAGCTCCAAAAATAATCTCCTTTGACTCCATGGTCCCACATCCAGGGCACAGTGATGCAGTGGGTGGGCTCCAAGGCCTTGGGCAGCTCCACCCCTGTGGTTCTGCAGGGCTTGGTCTCCAAGGCTGCTTTCAAAGGCTGGCATTGAGTGCTTGTGGCTTTTTGCAGGCACGTGGTGCAAGCTGTTGGTGGATCTACTGTTCTGGAGTCTGGAGGACAGTGTCCCTCTTCTCAAAGCTCCACTAGGAAGTGTCCCAGTGGGGACAGTCTATGGGGGTTCAAACCCCATGTTTCTCCTCTGTATTGCCCTAGTAGAGGTTCTCTGTGAGGGCTCCACTCCTGCAGCAGATTTCTGCCTAGATACCTAGGCTTTTTCATACATCCTCTAAAATCTAGGCAAAGGCTCCCAAGCCTTAACCCTTGCACTCTCCGCACCCTCGGGCTTAATACCAAGTGGAAGCCACCAAGACCTATGGCTTGCACCCTCTAAAGCAGCAGACTGAGCTGTGTCTGGAGCCCTTTTAGCCACTGCTGGAGCTGGAACAGCTAGGATGCAGGGAGCAGTGTACTAACTGAGGTGCAGGGCAGTGGGACCCTGAGCCTTGCCCAGGAAACCATTCTTTCCGCCTAGGCCCCGAGGCCTGTGATTGGAGGGGCTGTCTCAAAGATCTCTGACATACCTTCAAGGAATTTTTCCCATTGTCTTGGCTATTAGCAGTTGCCTTCCCTTCAGTTATGTGAACTTCTGCAGCCTGCTTGAATTCCTTCCCTGAGAATGAGTTTTTCTTTTTTTACCACATTGCTGGACTGCAAATTTTTCCAAACTTTTATGCTCTGTGCTCCTTTTAAATATAAGTTCCAGTTTCAGATTATTTCTTTCCTCACACGTATAAAGTAGGTTATTAGAAACAGCCAGGCTAGGCCGGGCATGGTGGCTCACACCTGTAATCCCAGCAGTTTGGGAGGCCAAGGCGGGTGGATCACCAGGTCAGGAGATTGAGACCATCCTGGCTAACATGGTGAAACCCCATCTCTACTAAAAATACAAAAAAAAAGTAGCTGGGCATGGTGGCGGGTGCCTATAGTCCCAGCTACTTGGGAGGCTGAGGTAGGAGAATGGCGTGAACCTGGGAGGCAGAGGTTGCAGTGAGCTGAGATTGTGCCACTGCACTCCCGCCTGGGTGACAGAGCGAGACTCCATCTCAAAAAATAAAAAGAAACAAAACAGGCAGACTAAATCTTTTTTTTTTTTGAGACTGAGTCTCGCTCTGTTGCCCAGGCTGGAGTGCAGTGGCACAATCTCCGCTCACTGCAAGCTCTGCCTCCTGGGTTCACTCCGTTCTCCTGCCTCAGCCTCCCGAGTAGCTGGGACTACAGGTACCTGCCACCACGCCTGGCTAATTTTTTTCTATTTTTAGTAGAGACGGGGTTCCACCATGTTAGCCAGGATGGTCTTGATCTCCCAACCTCGTGATCTGCCAAGCCTCAGCCTCCAAAGTCCTGGGGTTACAGGCGTGAGCCACCGTGCCCGGCCCAGCCGGGCTAAATCTTGAATGCTTTGCTGCTTAGATACTTCTTCTGCTAGATACTCTAAATCATCATTCTCAAGTTCAAAGTACTATAGACCTTTAGGGCAGGGGCACAGTGCTGCCAATTGCTTTGCTAAGGAACAAAAGTGACCTTTGCTCCAGTTCCCAATAAGTTTCTCATTTCCATCTGAGACCTCCTCTGTCTGGATTTCATTGTTCATATCACTATCAGCATTTTGGTCACAATAATTTATCAAGTCTCTGGGAAGTTCCAAATTTTTCTTCATCTTTCTCTCTTCTTCTGAGCCTCCGCACACTTCCAACCTCTGCCCATTACCCAGTTCCAAAGTCACTTCCACATTTTCAGGTATCTTTATAGCAATGTCCTACTTCTTTGTACCAGTTTTCTGTATTATTTCATTATTGTATTGCTATAAAGAAATACCTTAGACTGGGTAGTTTATAAAGAAAAGAGGTTTAATTGGCTCATGGCTCTGCAGGATATACAGGAAGCATGATGGCTTCTAGGAAGGCCTCAGGAAACTTTCAATCATGGTGGAAGGTGAAGTGGAAGCAGGGACATCTTACATGGCTAGAGCAGGAGAAAGAGAAGGGAGGAGGGAGGTGCTATACACTTTTCAACAGCCAGATCTCATGAGAGGAAATCGACCCCCATGATCGAGTCACCTTCTACCAGGCCCCACTTCCAACATTGAGGATTACAATTTGGCATGAGATTTGAGCAAGGGCACGGGTCCAAACCATATCAGTTATGCATCTCCATGCAAAAAAAAAGCAGTATAATAAATATACGTTTACTCTAATTCTCCCAGACCACCAGACTTATTAGGAACATTAAGATATCTTAATACATTGGATTACCAAAAGTCAGAAATGCAATTAAGGAAATATGATATAAGGTTTATTGAGATACAATTGTGTGTGTGTGTGCACGTGCGCATTGCTGGGGGGGCCTCAGGAAACTTACAATCATGGCAGAAGGCATAGCAGGCACCTTCTTCACAAGGCAGCAGGACGGAGTGAATGAGTGCAAGCAGGGGAAGTGCCAGATGCTTATAAAACCATCAGTCTTGTGAGACTCACTCATTATCACAAAAACAATATGGGAGAAACCACTGCCATGATCTAATTACTTCCCACTGGGTCCCTCCCATGACACATGGGGATTATGGGAACTACAATTCAAGATGAGATTTGGAAGGGGACACAGACAAACCATATCATTCTACCCCTGGCCCCTCCCAAATCTCATGTCCTCACATTTCAAATTCAATCATGCTTTCCCAACAGTCCCTGAAAGTCTTAACTCATTCCAGCATTAACCCTCAAGTTCACATCCAAAGTCTCATCTGAGACAAGGCAAGTCACTTCTGCCTATGAGCCTGTAAAATCAAAAGCAAATTAGTTACTTCCTGGATACAATGGGGGTACAAGCATTGGGTAAGTACACTAATTCCAAATTGGAGAAATTGGCCAAAACAAAGGGGCTACAGGCCGCATACAAGTCTGAAATCCAATATGGCGGTCAAATCTTAAAGCTTTGAAATGACCTCCTTTGACTCCATGTCACACTTCCAGGTCACACTGATGCAAGAGGTGGGCTCCCATGGCACTGGGAAGCTCCACCCCTGTGGGTTTGCAGGATACAGCTCCTTTCCTGGCTGCTTTCACTGGCTAACATTTAGTGTCTGTAGCTTTTCCAGGTGCACAGTGCAAGCTATTGATGGATCTACCATTCTGGGGTCTGGAGGATGGTGGCCCTCTTCTCACAGCTCCACTAGGCAGTGCCCCAGTGGGGACACTATGTGGGGACCCTCACCCCACATTTACCTTCTGCACTGCCTTAGCAGAGGTTTTTATTAGGGCTGTGCTCCTGCAGCAAACTTCTGCCTGGACATCCAGGCATGTCCATTCATCCTCTGAAATCTAGGCGGAGGTTCCTAAACCTCAGTTCTTGACTTCTGTCCACCTGCAGGCCCAACACCACAGGAAAGCTGCCAAGGCTTAAGGCTTGCACCCTCTGAAACAATGGCCTGAGCTGCATGTTGACCCCTTTTAGCCACAGCTAGAGCTGGAGTGGCAGTGGCTGGGACACAGGGCACCAAGTCTGGAGGCTGCACAGAGCAGCAGGGGGCCCCTGCGACTGGCCCACTAAACCATTTTTCCCTCCTAAGTCTCTGGGCCTGTAATGAGAGGGGCTGCTGTGAAGGTCTCTGACAATCCCTGGAGACATTTTCCCCATTGTCTTGGTGATTAACATTTGGCTCCTCATTACTTATGCAAGTTTCTGCAGCTGGCTTGAATTTCTCCCCAGAAAATGGGTTTTTCTTTTCTACTGCATCATCAGGCTGCAAGTTTTCCAAACTTTTATGCTCTGCTTCCTCTTGAACACTTTGCCACTTAGAAATTTCTTCTGCCAGATACCCTAAATCATCTCTCTCAGTTTAAAGTTCCATGGATCTCTAGGGCAGGGGCAAAATGCTGCCAGTCTCTTTGCTAAAGCATAGCAAGAGTCACCTTTATTCCAGTGCCCAACAAGTTCCTCATCTCCATCTGAGACCACCTCAGCCTGGACTTCATTGTCCATGTCACTATCAGCATCTTGGACAAAGCCATTCGACAAGTCTCTAGGAAATTCCAGACTGTTTTCATATCTTCCTGTCTTCATCTGGGCACTCCAAACTGTTCCAACCTCTGTCTGTTACCCAGTTCCAATGTTGCTTCCACATTTTTGGGTATCTTTACAGCAGTGCCCACTACTGCTGGTACCAATTTACTGTATTAGTCTGTTCTCACACTGCTGTAAAGAAATACCTGAGACTGGGTAATTTTTAAAGGAAAGTGGTTTAAATTGACTCATGGTTCTGCATTGCCAGGGAGGCCTCAGCAAACTTACAATCATGGCAGAAGGCAAAACAGGCACCTTTTTCACAGGGCAGCAGGATGAAGTGAGTGAGTGCAAGCAGGGGAAATGGCAGATGCTTATAAAACCATCAGATCTCATGAGACTCACTCATTATCATGAGAACAGCATGGGAGAAACCATTGCCATTATCCAATTACTTCCCTCAGGTCCCTCTCATGACATATGAGGATTATGGGAACTACAATTTAAGATGAAATTTAAGTGGGGACACAGCCAAACCATATCACAGACTTAGGTGTTTTCTTGTAGGCCTGAGTGGTGAAGATATAATATATGACTTGGAATACTAAAATCCACTCTTTTTTTTTTTTTTTTTTTGACTGGGTTTTGCTTTCGTTGCCCGGGCTGGAGTGCAATGGTGTGATCTCGGCTTACTGCAGCCTCCACCTCCCAGGTTCAAGTGATTCTCCTACCTCAGCCTCCCAAGTAGCTGCGATTACAGGCATGTGCCACCATGCCTGGCTAATTTTTGTATTTTTAGTAGAGACGGGGTTTCACCGTGTTGGTTAGGCTGGGGTCGAATTCCTGACCTCCAGGGATCCACCCGCCTTGGCCTCCCAAAATGCTGGGATTACAGGCATGAGCCACCTCACCCAGCCCTAAAATTCATTCTTTAAAATGGAAGGTAATTCAGAAACTTGCTAAATATTCTTATTGTCCACATAATTATCATTATTGTTTTACTATTTAATTTAAAAAAATTATTGTTAATTGACAATTTATAAGTGCCATTATTCTTGATTGTAGAGTTTCAAAAATAGCCAAATCATTCTGAAGGATAAACTATTGTATTTCTTGCTTCACCTTTCAAATAATAACCTCAAATTTGCTGTCTTGAGGCCTCATCAACTTGATTAGTAAGAGGTCAAATTATTTCTAGGAAATACATCCCTTATATATCCCTAAGGAGTCTAACGGGTCTTAAATATGTAACCTGAACATGCTACTAATGCCAATAGCAGTTTATGCCTTTAAACATAGTTCCACAATAGGTTGGAGAACATAGTGTTCCTATGTGTAAATTTGGAGTGATTGCTACAACTAACATCAAACATTTATTGAATGCTTGCAATGTACCTGGCACTATCACATACACAGTTTCAAATTAATTCATTTTGTCCTCCCAAAACCCTATGAAGTAGGTATAGTTATTGTTTATAATTAACAGACAGGAAGATTAAGGCATGGGAAAGTGAAGTAACTTGCCTAGGATCACACATCTTGGAAGGGGCTGAATCAATTCAAACCTAGACCGTCTGGGACCAACGTTTGTGTTATTAACTTTTCATTGTGTGACACATTGTATCTGCTGTGATTTTTTTATGCTGCTGATTTCTTTCTGCTGAATTGTTAATTGGGTTCAGCTAATTATGGTCCAGGGTCCACACTCTTATTTGAATTTCTATTCTCTTTAGATTTATCCATCTCTGAGTTGTTCAAAGCTTTAGCTCATATTGCTGCCATTGTCCTCTTTACTGTAGGGAAGCCCTTTACTTTTTCCTCTTAGACTGAGCTCTTTTATGCTGGTATCTCACAGCAGAGCTACTTGTGGCCCAGGGATTTAGCAATTTCATTGTTGCATTGTCTCCCAGCTTAAGAACAGATGAGGAGGGGTGGCAGAGAGGGCTGCATAGGAAGAGTTCACAAACACAGTCTTGATTTGAATTCATAAGTCCTACCTTCAACCCTAACATTCAGACCTTGTTGCTGAGTCTAGCTAATTCAAGCAGACTTCTTAATTCTTCATAGAGATTTCTTCTCAGGGATCACACCTTTGTCTATTCCCCAGTTGTGGATATATTTTAAAGTGTTCTCTCTGGCTCCTGGATCTCCTGATTCCCTTCTAAAGCAGAGATGTAACTAGACCCAGAAGTGTTCTTAGGTATCCTGTATCATAGGATGCCATTGCCTATTCAAAGCCTGCCATAAAACAAATTATATGCAGTCACTAAGGAAACCAATGACCAAATATTTTAAAAAATGAAATAGCAATATATGTGCCTTTTTATGAAGACAGTTAATATCTAGGAACATGTTTGATAAGTATATAATTTCAAAATTATTATGAACAGAAATGATGTTTCAAAATATATGCAAATTGTAGAGGATATAAAATATCTGTTTTATATGGTGACAAACCACAGGAACTACTAATACAAGTGTGGTTTGTTGCCTCCATTTGTAATAGGTATAAATGCTCAGTCTCACTTATAAGTTACTGAAGATAAGAGGGATATATTTTTCCATTGCAGTTCACATACCCTGAATTCTCTCACGTACCTCCTTAGGTGACACCCATGTACATCACATATCATCTTTCTGTTAGAGGGTAGGATTTAGCCCATCTATGGTAGCTTAGCAGAAGGGGTATAAGTTCATAGACAGATAGAGGCAAACTTTGGTGAAAAAATCTTTGAGTCTAGTAAAATTGATTAGGAAGGATGCTAAATAGGGATTTTTAAGTTTTGGCTCCAGCTTCAATTCTGCTACTAACTATCTGGGTTACATTGGACGATAAAATGTACTTCTCCAGGTCTCAGATCTCATCAGGAAAATAAGAAAGCTGGACCAGCTGATCTCTGAGGAACTATTTTGATTTCACAACCTATTATTCTAAGAACCTTTCTTTTTACTTGGTTCCATGTCACCCATATTTATTCCTCTATGATATTACGCAAGAACAGGAAAATGTCATATCATTTGCCAGACTATTTCCCCAGGATATCCTTCACCTCAGAATTTACCTTTCTTTTCCCTCCAGGAATAAGAACATTACCTGAAACAAATGCTCCTTTCCTTGAATGAAGACATTTGTCAGCTAACGTAGGCTTCACACAAACTTAAGAAAAAAGCAGACTTAGATGTAAAATAAGCTATTTCCTTGGCTAGTTGAGTTTTGCATCTTCTCCGTTGGTTACTTTTTTTATTACCTGAGTTTCAAGAGCTTGTTTTCTCATAGCCTTATTTCTCTTTTGAAAAATTATTTCTTCATTAAAACCACAAGTAATAGTAATAATATTAAAGAGTAAAATGGAAATGAATCAAAGAAAATTGTCCTTCTACCTTACTTCTCATTTTAATCAAGGCTGAGGAAATACTTCTGAGTGATGCCTGAGCAATGGATGGTCCAAGTTGAGGTAACCAAAGCCATAGGAAGATTGGAGGATTTAACCATGTTTAAACTCTTAGATCAGTCAGTATGGTGGTTTTGGAGGCTGTCTCTGGCCTCAGTGTGGCTTTCTGTTTCTCAGTGTGGCTGTCTGAACGCTACAGCTTTCTGTTCTTAACAAAGCCTGTCCTCAAGAAAAGGTAGTTAACTAGAAATCTAACCTATTAAGATTTCATTAGAGCCTAACTGACCTGGGGGGAGAAAAATACTTAACCCCAGACCCCTCTAGCCATCTTGCCTTACCTAAACAGGCAGTGTCAGTGGAATTAGAGAACACTTATGAAGTTCACAGCCCAAAGGCACATACTTACTAACAGACTGATGTCTAATCACAGAACTGTGGAATATTTCCCATCCCCATACACATTACTATCACATCACTAAAGGCCTTGGACTATTTACTGGACTTCTTTTTACATAGTCTCTCATGTCCAGCTTTCAACAAAAAATTACAAGGCATACTGAAAGGCAAAATACACAGTTCGAAGAGATAGGGCAAGTATCAGAACCAGACTCATAATAGCACAGGGATGTTCGAATTATCAAACTGGGAAACAACTGTGATTAATATGCTGAGGGCTCTAATGAAAAATGTGGACAAAATGAAAGAACAGAAGGGTAACAAAACAACAATGAGATATCATCTCACACCAGTTACAATGGCTACTATCAAAAAGAAAAAAATAACAAATGCTGATTAGGATGCAGATGCAGAGTAAAAGGAACTCTTATACTATTGATAAGAATGTGAACTAGTACAACCACTATGGAAAACAGTATGGAGATTTCTCAAAAAACTACAACTAGAACTACCATATGATTCAGCACCCCACTACTGTATGTGTGTGTATATATATCCAAAGGAAAGAAAATCAAGATATTGAAGAGATATCTATATTCCCATGTTTATTACAGCACTTTTCATAATAGCCAAGAAATGGAATCAAACTAAGTGTCCATCAACAGATGAATGAATAAAGAAAATGTGGTATTAGCTGGGCATGGTGGTGTACCCGTGTAGTCCCAGCTATTCTGGACTCTGACGTGGGAGAATAGCAGGAGCGCAGGTGTTTGAGGCTGCAGTGAACTATGATTATGCTACTGCATTCCAGCCTGGGTGACAGAGTGAGACCCCATCTCTAAAAAATAAAAAATGTGATATATAATGAAATAGTATTCAGCCATAAAAAAGAATGAAATCCTGTCATTTGGATATTGTGTTATGGAGGATATTGTGTTAAGTGAAAAAACATGTTCTCACTCATACATGGAAGCTAAAAAAAGTTTATGTCATAGAAGTAGAGAGTAGAATAGTGGTTACTAGAAGCTGGGGAGGTAAGGAAAGGGAGGATAGGGAGCAATTAAGAATGCAAAATTACAGCTCGATACAAGGAGTAACTTCTAGTGTTCTCTAGCACTGTAGAGTGACTATAGTTAACAATAGTTTGTTATATACTTTTGAATAGCTAGAAAAGATGATTTTGAATGTTCCCAATACACAAAAACATGATAAATATTTGATGTAATAGATATGCTAATTATCCTGATTTGACTACTATATGTTATATGTATAGAAATGTCACTATGTACCCCATAACTATCTACAATCATTATATGTCAAATTATAAAAAAGAACAGATGGGTAATGTCAGTAGATAGACAGAAATTCTAAGTAAAAATAAAAAAGAAATGCTAGAGATAAAAAAACACTGCAATGATGATCTTTGATGGGCTCATTAGTGGATTGGACATGGCTTAGAAAAAAATCTTTGAGCATGAAGATGTGTTAATGGAAACTTTGCAAACTGAAAATCAAGAAGAAAAATGGCTATTAAAGAAGAACAGGAAATCCAAGAACTGAGGGACAGCTACAGAAGGCATAACATACTTATAATGGGAATAAGAATGAGAAGAAAGAAAGAAACGAGAAATATTTTAAGCAATAATGACTAAGAATTTTCCCAAATTAATGTCAGACATCAATCTGCAGATCCAGGAAGCTCAGAGAACACCAAGCAGGATAAACATCAAAAAAGCTACATCTAGGGATATCATATTCAAGCTGCAGAAAATGAAAGAGAAAAAAAAAAATCCTGAATGAAGCCAGAGGAAAAAATACCTTACTTATAGAGAAGCAAAACAAGAATCATATCCAAATTCTCAGAAATCAAGCAAGAAAGAAGAAAGTGGAGTGAAATATTTAAAAATATTGAGAGAATGGATATATAAATGCACTTCCTGAATGTACTATTTAAGGGCATGCAAACTTGAATTTTGTATTGGAGATATATGTTTTTCATAGCGATAAGGACTCTGGAGTTAGTCAGAAATTGATTCTGTTTTTGTGATAGCTGACTACAAAAATGGCCACAATTATCCATGCCTTTGTGGAAATGTACCCTTTACAATATGGTTTTGCAGCTCTTCCCATCTATTTTCAACCCTCAAATCTGAGCTGGCATTATGACTTGCTTTGACTCACAGAAAGTGGCAAAGTCATGGTGTGCCAATTCTAAGAAGAGCCCTCAAGGGGTTTTGCATATATCTAAACACTCTCTAGGGATCCTGTGTCTGCCATGGAAAAGAAAGAGCTGATTCAGCTCAGTTGTTCTAGTTGAGCCCCAGAAATGAGACAGCCCAGTGAAGATCAACAAAACTGCATACTGGACCCCCAGCTAACCTCAGATGCACAAGGACTCCTAGGAAGAAAAGAGGAATTGCCCAACCAAACCAAGCCAAAGTCTTGATCTGACTATTGTGATCTAAATAAATGGTGGTTGTTTTAAGCTGGTAAGTTTTAGTGGTTTTAGTGTGATTTGTGATGCAGAATTACTGTGGTACTAGATATGTGATACAGTCTTTGTCTTTTACCAACTGTGTTCTTAGGCAACATACCTGTCTTGACACCTGAGTTTCCTCCTCTTTTAATTGGAGTTAATATTAAGACATATCTCACAGGATTACTGTAAGATTACATGACAGGCTGTACATAAATGGCACAGAGGAAGAACTCAATATGATCTAGTTGTTACTATCATTTTCTTTTTCACCATGAATAAACAGGCTTATATAAGAGGGCTTTTGCTTTTCTTGATGCTTTGGGTCTTGGCTCCTTTTCATGGTACAAATAAATGGTAACAAATAAAACCCATCTTCCCAACCAGACCATGGTGCAGGTAACAGTAAGGAGCTCTGAAATCAGATTGCCAAGACTCAAATTCCCTGCTCTGCTATTTTCCAGCTGTGTGGACTTGGGTAACTTAATTTCTCTGTGCTTTAGAGTATTCACTTGTAAAATGGGGCAAATAATATTGCCTGCTCCTACAGTTGTTGTGAACATTAAATGATGAACATTTAAAATGCTTGGAGTGCTGCTGAGCGCACGGTATACACTTGGAGTGCTTGGTAAATGTTTTACATTATTGTTATTATATATTATTATTATTAAGATGTTTGCATCACCTAGCGATCAGCTGAATCTCAGGCTTGTACCATGTGAAATTCTTCAGGAGCTTCTGAATTAAGCAGGGGGATATTTAGCCACTCCTCAGTAGTCCATAGGGCAGTGGCCATTCACTAGAGTTCAACCATCTGGCAGACAACATGCTCAGATCTTTACATGTTGTCATAATGAACAACTGGTCCAGAATTAGCACACTGAAGAGATTCTGAAGAGAGCCAGAAAATGGGAAATGGGAATAATCCATTGCTCTGAGCAAATGACATTGGCTCACGTGAGTATGGATCTGGGGTTAGCCTCCGAACAAAGAACTAAAAGCAAAACAACAACAACAACAAAAATAAAACAGTTGCCAATGAGTCGGGGCTAGTTTTGAGGGAGCTGGACCAACAGTCCAGCTAAGCTGAAGGGGTTTCAACCTTTAAGATGAAGTAACACTGAAAAATACTCTTGATATATCTTTAAAAGGAGACACATTACACTTAGAGGTAGGAAAAAGAGAAAGGAATTGTGTATGTTATTAAGAAAAATGAGCCTTTGAGTATGACAGAAATGGTTTTGATTTCTCTTCTTCTCATTTAAGACCTATATAACCTTGAACAAGTTTCTTTATCTATCTCTTTTCATTTTCCTTTTTAAAGTTAGAATAATAATTCTCTCATAGAGCTAATGAAGGGATTAAATCATGTAACTATTTAAAATGCCTAACAGTGCCTGACACTTAATAGGCACTTAATAAATGGTATATGTTCCTGTTATTATTGTTATTAATTATACCTCGTTTGACAAATTTTTTGTATTGCCAAAATCTCCACCTTGAGTTACCATTTTCTGTGCTTCATTTGCTCTGGTTTAGCTTTTCATTTTTCTGTGCATTCCACAGAACTTTTGACATCCACCCTTTAGATACCCAACTACTGACTTTGATATCACACACCTCATTGATTACCTCCTGGGCTGACTTTGACATCAGGCATCTGCGTCATTTTTACTTGCTTGTTCAAGGTTCTAATTTCCCTGTATCCTATCTTTGTCAGTGGGTAAGAGATCACAGAAAGCAAATGAGACTTAAGGAATTGTCTAATGTTGGAAGAAAATATCAGGAAGGCAGGGAACTGGGTCTACAAGGTCAGGGAGTCAGAAAATGAGGTACCAATTATCAAAGTGGTTTTCAGCTGTTCTCAAAAAAGAATAAGAAATATGTGCTCTGAGTATTTTCTGCTCTGAAATAGGTTAAACCTGGACGTAGGCTCTTAAATAGGTAACAGAATTTAGAGATTCTCCAGATCATTTTCTCTACTGCTTTCTTCAAGTTGATTATGAAAATTTGAAAACAATAAAAAATAAGGGCAAGTTAGGATAAAAGGTTATAATAATACAAACAAACACTTCTTTTTCTATGCAGCTGATTGGATTTCTCTCTCTTCCTTCTTTCACTCTGGAACATTCGTCACTTTTAAAACTGGATCATCAGAGCTTGGGTGAATTAAACCATGTTTTCAGGTTCGATCCCATTAGCTCCAATTTTCTTCATCTAGTTGTAGGTACCAGGCAGTCCCTGAAGAACTGTTTAATAGTGTTGATAGATCAAACAAAATTCTTTTTTACAACCAAGCAAACAATGTCCAGCAGAGATTTAGTGTGGGCCAACAGTGTCACTTTCCTGTGAAAATGTAGGATTCCTTCAATCAGGCCCACCCACCATACCTCTTAGCAAGAACATACTGCTTGGTAGCAAAGATTATCACTTTAAGATTTTGGAACTGCGATTGGTACAAACTCAGATACAATGAAGCTCATAAATATAAAAATAGATGGGCTAGATATAAAGTATAATTTTCTTCCCACTTCAAGTACATCCGTTGTCTAAATAGTTCTGTCTCCACTGCAAGATCTGAGGATTTGTACATTTCTATACTATATTTCTCTCTGGTTTATTTCTCTTGTGACCTTTCTTGGAATTACGGAAATTTTGAAATTTTGTTCCTTATAGTTGATTGATTCATAGATGATAACTAAAACACATCATTTCTTTGCCTCTGAGAGTTGTTTCTGATAGAATACGCAAATCCCAAGATAGATCATAATGATGAAATAATATCAAATAACACAGCTGAGGGAGTTTCTGCAAAATAAATAAGATGGTCACCAGCCATTGTTGTTCACATCCTTTAAATCCTTCTCCTCAGCCCCATTTATAGCAGATGACTTAGGCTGCGTCATCCACATGCTGTTGTCTGTGGGACAAATGAAATAACCTCTTCGTGTTTCAGTGTCTTCATCTAGGAAATGTGGCTGTCAGTACTTTTCTTTTAGAGGGGAATTTTGAAGAACAAATGAGATAATTCATGTTGAGTTATGGATGCACATGTAATATTTACCTAGTAAGTGATAGTTATTATTAATAATAATTCACTTTATGGTTGATTGATATATAGTTGCAAGTGATTAGCTTTGGTTAAAAATGCAATGTGAAATCTCACAGCAGATTGGAGCTATAGAGTGGAGTTAGAGATTGAGTTATTACTCATCAGTGAAACTAGTAAAGAAAACTGCAAAAAAATCATCTTGGAAGGAAAGACTAGATTGTTTCAGTATTTCTAATTCATATGAACTGTTTCATTGTAAACATATTATAAATCTCTGCTTATATAAACAACAATTTTTATTTTCCTACAAGCATAATTTTAATTCTTAGAGCTTTATTTGATAGTAATGACTAAATCGGTAACAATTCTCACCCTAATATTTTTAGTCTGGAGCTGCCCTTTTCCCAAGATGATTTCAAATATTTAGCTTGAAAAGGAAACTAGGATATAAATTGCCACATTTACGATGTCACTGTGTATTGGTTCATAGCATCCATTCTTATAATAATAATTACATTATTGAATGCCTATTTTATTCTAGGAAGCAGATTAGGTCCTAGAAAAATGAAAATCCTATCTCTGCCCTGAAGGAATTTAGCCCTGTGGATGAATGGAAGTACAAATAAAGATTATCATGTAACAGAAGATATATTAAGATCAAGTCTTGTACAAGATCTTAACAGGAAGAAGAATAAGACTTTTGACTTAGTTATAGGAATATAATTTATAGGATTTTGACACAGAAAGGATTTTTTAGAAAATATTGAATCCAAGTAGAACAGGTATCTTTTAAAACCATGGTTAAATCTTCAGAATCAGCCGGGTGGTGGCTCACGCCTGTAATCCCAGCACTTTGGGAGGCTGAGGTGGGCGGATCATGAGGTCAAGTGATTGAGACCATCCTGGCCAACATGGTGAAACCCTGTCTCTACTAAAAATACAAAAGTTAGCTGGGCGTGGTGGCGCATCCTGCAATCCTAGCTACTCGGGAGGCTGAGGTAGGAGAATCACTTTAACCTGAGAGGCGGAGGTTGAGACTGTGCCACTGCACTCCAGCCTGGTGACAGAGCGAGACTCTGTCTCAAAAAAAAAAAAAAAAAAACAAAAAAAAAACTTCAGAATCTTAGCAGGAACTCTTTGTGAGAATAGAAATATTCTTATGGTGCCTCTTTGCTCTTCTTAAATTCAGGCTTCTGTTTTCAAGAGAAGAAGAAAAACTATACTGCTACCACTAGGATCAGGGTGAGCTTTCAGGAATCAGAGTGGTCAGGACTCATTGATAACATCTTGGGAGAGAGAGAGAACACCTGTGGCTTCAGATGCAGCCAGTCTCCTTCAATGGGTGCCACCCTGTGAGCAGTGAATAAAATAATCAGGACTTCCCTTCCTCTCTGTGAATTGTTGGTTTATTTGTTTTTGCTTTTACTAATTGATTTGTGGTCTTTGGCTCACATTTCTGGCTTATCCCCTAGCCTTCAGATTTATGTCACCTTCCTGTATTGGCTTGTGTGGAATCATCATCGCCATGATGAATGATTGAGGACTTATTCCATATCCATCTCTAATCTTTACCCTCTTCATCCAGGCAAGGCACTATTATCAGTTCATGAGAGGGAAGAGTTAAGTGACTTGCCTAAAGTCTCACAGCAAGTAAGTGGCGGAGTGGATGCTTGAACCGAGGTGTATCTGACTCTAAGGTTTCTTTCCTGACTCCTTATAGACTACATCTGCAAAAATGACTCTTGGTGCTGCCTCTGTCTGTCCCAGACTGCTGTGTCTGAAACCTAATTACAGGCTCTTGATAATGACTTCTTATACTTCCACGTCTGTTTGTGCCAGTCCTATCACGTAAGAATGCACCATATGCCCTGAGAAATGCAAAGGAAGTTGGGTATACAAGGCCCTGAATAAATATGAAAACAACTTAGACAAAATCAGAATTCTTCTCTTTATTTTAGGCCTAAGTTGTGATAATATGACTGTGTCAACCTCTTATTTGGAAATAAAGCAAATTACTTTGCAAGAGCCTCAGTGGGCAGAGGCTGTCACCTTCCTCTGAGGGTCCTCTTCACCTAATATAGGACAAGGCCATTTCTGCTTTATTTGCCCAATAGGAAGGAAGTCTCATTCTTGCTCTAGCCTCAACTCACGCAGCCACAATACTTGTTGTCACTATTGATCACTGCATACACATAAAGAATTGGTCATATGATTAGTACAGCGTGCTGGAGGTAATAATGCAAGAGTGTTGGGCTTGAGTCAGCTTAATTTATGTCTAGCCTGAACGTGTAAACTGTCTCCTTCTGTCAGATGTGGTGATTTCATTACGAGTGTAGCACTGAATGGTGTGTGCCATGCATCAAGCTAATGAATATATAAATCCAAACAGTAATTGAATTTCTGCATTGATGATAAACGTTCCTTGTAAAGAAAAAAAAAAAAACACATTCAGCAGGGACAAGGAAAATAGTCTGGGGAAGGTAGCATGCTGGCACGATTTGTATTATCAGAAGGCAACTTGGTGGCAGTGTAGAGAAGGATTGGATCAAGGACTAAGCCCCTAGCATGTCTCTTCCACAGAGGAAGCAAGGAACAAGGAGAGCAGATGTTTTCTAAGTAAGATTCTTATCCCCCCTTCTCAATATAATTTTTCACCTGCCTGGAATCTTCTTTGCCTGAGAGACAATAGAGTGTGGTGAATATGAAACAGGTTCTGTAGACATGGTGACTTGGATTTGCCCAGCTCTGTCATTTCCTAGCTATATACCCTTGAGTAGGTTAGTTTCTCATCATTATAATTGGGATAATCATCTCATTCCAGTTGTCAGAAGGACTAAATTATTTTGTCATTGTTTTTGTTTACTCCTGGCCAACACCATACAATGGAAAATGTTGGGGTTGCATTTTAGAGACATATATAGCTAATTCAACCCCCAAGGCTCTGGGACTTCAGTTCTTTCAGATATTCCTACATTCCCTCTGGAGAGCATTGAGAGGATAATTAAGAGCTTTTCAATTTAGCCATTTCCTTGGGTATTTGTAAATAAAACTGACATACTTGTTTGTCTCTATAGTAACTCACATCATGGTTGAAGGCATATAGGGCTACCTTTGCCAATAAGAACTGTTTTCTGACCATTCTTCAGGCTACTCCTTTTATAGACGGTTCCAAAACTTTTCTCCTCTTTGGTCAGCAGGTCTTTTTTGAGTTTCTCCTTTTTTCCCGAAGGGTGCTGGCCAATAATCCCTGAATCATCTACCCTATACAATCATTGCCCCCCACATACTAAAAAATTTGGGGCTGCTGGCTTTTCTCATGTGTCTACATTCTTTTGGGTAATTGGGCTGTTCTCAATGTTTTTGAGAGAAGCTTATAGGACATTTTTGTTCCTGCTCAATTCCCTAGTCTTAGAGATCTTAGAACATGGATAGGCATCAGATAATTTATGTAAATTTTTGTGTATATATACGAGTATTTGCATGTGTATTTTAACAATTAGAAGTGACATATTGTTTATCAATTCTCCAGTTGTCGTTTGTCCTCCAAAACATTAATAATCATTCCTAGTAGTCAGTTTCTGTATTCTATAGCAGTCGTGTAGGAATAAGTCTTTGAAGAGCTGGGGGCTCTTGATTCTCTTCTAATGTGGGCTTGGGAAAGCACATCTTTATAATACCTGACTTCTCTTACCTTTCCTTTCCTTCCTTATCAATCTCTTTCTCTGTCCCCTCAGAACAAATTCTCATCTCTACAGTGAGACCTCCGATGGGATGCAGCAGTGCCTGGCTGGCCCCTCATCCTCCTCACTCCTCTCTATCAAACATGGTCCCCCTTCTTCCTCAAATGCTTTAAAAATCACCTCCTTTGTAATTCTCCTGTGTAAAGCCCATGTCACAGTCTTCCATTGTGTCTCCAGCATCTAGTACAGGGCCTACCACATAATAAACATTGATCACGAATGTTTACAGGTTGTCAGTAGTTTTCCTCCTTCGATTTAGAATTTCTGGATCTGTGATGCCATGTCTTCCCTTTCCTTTTATTTTGACAGACTTTGTGCAGAGAAGAGGGTCTATTTTACCTTCCCTTCATCTATTTTACCTTCCCTGGCAGATGATGGCATGTTTTTAATCTCAGGGATGCTTTTAGAGGATGAAGTGAAACTACCTATATAGAGTGCTTAGCATGATGCCTAGCACATAGTGGTGATAAATAACTAATGGCTAATATTAACAGTAGTAGTCTATAATTCATACCTTGGTAAAGGTTAGTGCTCATAAGCCTGTTATATTTGGCAGTAGTACTATTCCTATGCTGTATTGTAAATAGAACTTTTGCCACCATGTTTAGCAGCAAGTGGGTAGGTAATGGCTCCTGGCTCAGGCAGTGAAATTCATAGACATGAACACTGAAATGAAGCGAATCATTATCAGATGATGGGACCTTCAGACTCTTTGCTGTCCAGCTCAAGCAATGGGGAGGAGGCAACAGCTGCTTCTGATGCTTCCAGTAATTATGATGGAAGATTATTCAATTCCATATAGTATCCAGGACTCGAAGGGAACAATCTGGGCTAAGTCAGCATGCGCCTAATGAAATCGCTTAGCTTGGGCTGTGGCCTTACCTACCACAAGCTGTGATCTACTGTGTGCTAGCAAAGCAGCCGTGGGAGATGATACTGCTTGGGAAAGGGAAATGCTTGGAAAAATTCACTCCTTTTATCGGCCTTCAAATTTCTGCTATGATCCAAGTGGCTTGAAGGCTGGCTTGGAAAATAACTAGTTCCCCATGGCCAGAGTGAGAGTTTCTATCTTTAAATGGAGGCACCTTACTTCCCCAACTTGCCTTCCCCAAATCAGGTGGCACTTTCTGCTGTGCCTGCTGGGGCCAGCACTTCGATGACTTCCCATCGCTCTCTACTGCTTCTGGCAAGCACCCACAGAAAATGAGTCAGGTAGATTCACACATGGGTTTTCAATTAGATTCTCAATTTATTAATATGCTGCTGTGTGGTTGTCAGTGATGTGAATCTTATACAGTATCTAAGCAACTGATCCTGAGTCTTAGAGCCTGTTTATATGTCTCCTGCAACATGACACTGCCTCTTCCCTACAAACAGGAAATGGGTTGAGGCAAGTGGTCACTGGACAGCAGATGATGGCTCACGTAATTATTATAAGATTGGCTTTATTAACCTTTCCCTATGTTTTACAAGAGGAGGAATGCTGGAAGTTTGTAGGAATATGACATGGAGGCATTTCGGATTTTGTGAGAGTACATATGTCAGAATGAGAGGTGAGCACAGTCATTATGCCCGATGAATCTAGCCACCTCCATTAAAGGCTCCTTCCTAGAATGTGTGTCTATTTCAGTGCATTATGTGCATCCATTTGCTTTGGCTTTCTGGCCCATGCTATGTGGTATCCCTACACAGATGTCTTAGCAATATGGAATGTCTCCTCATGTACTTGATGAAGATATGTACTGGAACCAACATTGACTGACTAATAGCCTAAATTTTTACCTGGATTTCTTTTTTCTTTCATTGCTACATGATTTGCATTTGGCTGACATGGAGAGAACGGGGTTAAAGATGACTGATTTGCTTGTTAATTTAATAGAATTGATAGTTAAAAAAACAATAAAACAAGCAAGCAAACAAAATTAATTTCTTTTTCAAAGTAAATTGTCTGCTTGTTGGGCTGAATTTGATTAAATCATCTGGTGGTTCTGGCATCATGTAGACAGCACACCATAATCTTATGTGTCAAGCTAATGAACATTGAAATGAATCGATGAAACATCTGTTTCCAATGAAGGAAACACTAACGTGTCATGTAAATGGCAACCCCTACACAACACCAGATGATTTTTTCTCTTGTCCTTAGCAGCGGCTGAGGAGTGGGATTATAGGAAGTCATCGTTATCTGTGATTTGACGAGACTCTATTGCAAGTATCCTTCTTGGAGGCACACAGTAAGTTTGTTTACCAATATCAACTGAACACCTAGAGTGTGCTCATAGCAGTATATTTGCTTCTTGTAGGAGGAAAAAGTTAAAAGATGACCTGGGCCAGGCTTGCCCTTCACATCTGTGGGACTCAGGGAAAGAGTGCAAATGTAGGTCTAGAAGACATAAGTATTTATTTATTTATTCATTCATTTGAGACAAAGTCTTGCTCTGTCACCCAGGCTGGAGTGCAGTGGCACAATCTTGCTCACCACAACCTCCGCCTCCCAGGTTCAAAGGATTCTGTTGCCTCAACCTCCCAAGTAGCTGGGATTACAGGCACGTGCCCCTACCCCGGCTAATTTTTGTATGTTTAGTAGACAAGGTTTCACCGTATTGGCCAGGCTGGTCTTGAACTCCTGACCTCAAGTGATCTGCCTGCCTCGGCCTCCCAAAGTGCTGGAATTATAGGTGTGAGCCACTGTGCCCAACCTATAAGATATAGGTCTTTAGAAGTTGCAAATCATACCCACAAATGTTTACATAAAGTATACACAAAATATAATCCATCTTTGTTGACAAATATGATTTTATATTATCCTGGAATGCCAGACTGAAATTTAACATTCTTGGGTTAATCATAATTCTATATTGATACCTGGTGATGTAGGGAAAGCTATCTTTCGGCCCCCATCTCCTAGACCATGGCATTCCATCTTTATCTTTCCATTTCCAGCTCCTTTTCACACAAAAACAGATACCTAAGTCTGCGTATCCAAGCTCCACCAATATCACTTAAGCCACTGCCCCTGCCAACCTTTGGCTGTGTACATCACTGGTGCAGCTGATTCTGGGGAGTTTCCCAGGATCCAGGGCCCTTAGGCTATTTGGGCAGGAAATTCTGAAGTCCTAGATAACCAAAACGTGATCAAGAAGAGGGGCCATCAGCTTCTGGTGGTCAGGTCCTTTTGGATCATAAAGTGGGACATCGCTGGAAAAAGGTATTGCTTGCGTCTGCGTGGTACTAAATTTTTCTCAATCATAAAATTTCTTAATTTATATCTCTGCTTCAGCTTTTCTTCCCTCCAACAAGTTTACATTGAGTCTGTTGGTTGGTTAGCTCTTAGCCAGTTAGAACTTTACCCAGCATCCCTTGATTTTCTTATTAACTCCAAGTTGACTACACAATATGGCACTCCTCATACCCACATAAAACAGTGTTGGGCAGTGATTTAAAGGCAGAGCTTAGACTTACGCTGTCTTATTTACAGCTGTTTAGTTAACCTCTCAGAATCTGTATATTGGGAGTACTAACCCTTAGTCCATAAGGATAAAATGAAGATTACATGAGAAAAAAATGTAACACAGTGCCCACTAAGTACTGTCAATAATGGCTAATAGTAGTACTAATGATTATTCTTGTTATTCTGTTATTATTGTTAGTGATTAAGAATGAGGACGATTCTGAAGTAGGGCTGACTTAAGTTGAATTCTTGATTTTTGTGTTATCTTCACTGTGTGACCAAAGGCAAATTACTAAAGCTATATGTACTTAATCTATAGATTGGAGTTAATAATTGATCTTATTTAATAAGGTTGATGTCAAGATTAAATGAACTAATATGTGAAAATTGCTTAGATATATGCACAGAGTATATACTCAATAGTAATTATTATACCACTTCCTCTCAGCCTTTGAAGGTGATTTTAAGCTTTGGCTTTGGTGGGAGGAACCAGCAGCTCTTTTATAGGTTAAGTCAGAACACTTTAAGCATCTTTCCTACACGAGCACCCCCTGCTGCCTTCACTTTTTTTTTTTTTTAATGGGATCTTGCAGTGGCTGGGCATGGTGGCTCATGCCTGTAATCCCAGCACTTTGAGAGGCCACGGAGGGTAGATCACTTGAGCTCAGGAGTTCAAGACCAGCCTGGCGGACATGGTGAAACCCCATTTCTATGAAAAATACAAAAACAGCTGGGCATGGTGGTGTGTGTCTATGGTGTCACTTAATTGGGAGGCTGAAGTGGGAGAATCACGTGAGCCCAGGGGACGGAGGTTGCAGTGAGCCGAGATGGTGCCACTGCATTCCAACTTGGGTGACAGAGTGAGACTCCATCTTAAAAAAATAAAAGAATAAAATAAACGGAATCTTGCTAAGTCAGAAACTTTTTTCTATACCTGTGAAGAAACTCAGCTAAGTGTAGGGAAAAGACACAAAAACGGTGAGCATTTTATAAAGCTGGAGTAGTTATATAGCAGTTACATCTATTCTGATGAACTTGCTGTCACTTCATTTTATTCAAACTTCTATCTACTTTTATCAGAGGATGAGTTTATTTTTCCTTTAGGCATTCAGAAACATTTTATATGGATACAGAAGCGGTGTTGGAGAAGGGGTGTGTGTGTGTGTGTTTGTGTGTGTGTGTGTGCGTGCATTCCTCTTTATTTCTATATCTGAAATTCTACATTTGGCTAAATTAGGACAACCTATGGGTTGTCCCTTATGAGAAAATTTGTTTTTTACTGTAGTGGTGGGAACAGATAGAAATTAATTTGTGCAACATACCACATTCACTCAGTAAGTCTTTGGAAATGAGGGCAGGGTGTTTTTCTTGGTCTTAGGATATTTGGTCTGAATTCATTGAAGGGAGCCCAGCTATTAATATACAGCCTAGCCAGAGTGGGAAGCATCCATTAAACACAGCCTTCCTTATTTAAAACAGTAATCCAACAATCTAAGTCAAATGACAATGAATTGATTTGACATACCAGTGAAATATTTTTTCCTTGACTTTTATTTTAAATTTCAAATGTTTCTTCTATATCTGGAGCCATGGAAGAACACATGAGTTAAATGAGTGAGTTGACCATAGAAAATTTTTTAAAACTGAGATATAATTATGCTACTTATTTTTCAAAAGCACTCTTTGTTCTGTTTCCTACTTTGCCAGCTAAACGTGAAATTCCTTAATTTTATTTAAATATAAGAACTATCTGGTAATTTTAAGGTGGATAAACAAAGCCAGAAGAAAGCATGTCATGTTAAAATCATACAACTTATTGATGATAGAAGGGAAATGAAAACCAAGGTTAATTGATCGATGTTAATATCAATCAGTGTTTTATATATTGAAAACATTTTGTGAAGCATTAAGTTATGGTGAGATTTTTAGTGTATTAAGTAACTCAGAAATAAGTGATTCCTTGTTAAATAAACACATAGAGTTAACACTTTGGATAGTGGCTTCCACCTATACCTTGGGGTTTAAGGATAGAAGTAAACAATCAGACATGAAAGGTCTTATATAGACTTTATCCGTATTTTCTAAGAATGACCATTTTTGACCATTTAAGGAAAGCCAACCTAAACCAGTAACTTTTGAGGCTTAGAAACAATTTGGGGAGCGAATACAGGTCTGGTCAGTGGAACTCTACATTGTCTACTTTTTTTTTTTTTTTTTTTTTTTTTTTCTGAGATGGAGTTTTGCTCTTGATGCCCAGGCTAGAGTGCAATGGCACGATGTTGGCTCACTGCAACCTCCACCTCCCGGGTTTAAGTGATTCTCCTGCCTCAGCTTCCCATGTAGCTGGGATTACAGGCATGCGCCACCACGCCCATCTATATTTTTGTATTTTCAGTAGAGACGGGGTTTCTCCATGTTGGTCAGGCTGGTATCGAACCCCCGATCTCAGGTGATCCGCCCGCCTCGTCCTCGCAAACTTCTGGGATTACAGACGTGAGCCACCATGCCCAGCCTTCCATTGTCTTTTTAATTAAAAAATGATCTAATAACTGATGCATTAAATAACGCAGTAATAGGTCTAGCCAACTATTTGAAAGATTTCTGGGGCTTAAAATTAATTTAAAAAATACTGGTATGTGTACAATCTTCTAATTGTCAGTGTAAAATGTCTCATTTTTAGGCAATGCTGAACAGTTCTTTAAACTGTGCTCATGATCCAGGTAACACATTGCCCAGAGGTGACCCTACAGCTTGGTATCTTTCTGATTTTCCTGAGCCTGAGGGTACTGAGGGAAATGCTGGGAAATGTCTAACCTCTTGAAAATAGCTTTGGGATTAGGGTAGTTAAAAAAATTAAAAGGCGAGGGCATGCCAACAAAGTAAAGATTTTTCTCCATTGGGAGATGTGTGAGCATATCTGACAACATTCTGAAATTTTTTAATTAGCAGCACAGTAAGATATTAAACTACACTATAACCAAGACACTCTTACATCAATGATCCAAAACATCTGCTATTGGGGGGTCAGTGTGTGCAGTTTTGCTCTTTCTTTCTGTAATTCCAGCATATATTCCGAAACAGCTAAAAAAGAAAAAGGTGTAAAATAGTCTCCACTGTTTTGGATAACATGAAAAGAAAGCAGATGGGTTTTAATCATAGATTCTAAAAAGGATTAGGCATTTTGGACAATCAGAACAAAAAATAAATGGTAGAATTTAAATTATGGCCATACATGTCTTCAACTTGTTCAAGGGAAGAGCCAATCAAAGTTGTCTCTAATAATGATGTTCTGTGTGGTCACAATGTCTGCGTCTGGATAACAAAACCATATAGAATCATGATAAAGAATCATGATAAAGAATCACAATTATGGAGACCTTAGAAATGACACCTCTTAGCACCTACTTGTTGGGTAGAATCTTACAGATTCTCCTACTGATATTACCATACCTCCGTTGCATTCTTCCAGGGAAAGGGAATTTATTAAAATTCAAGCCTCACAATTCCACTTGTGCTCAAACACTGGTTTTTGATTTTTTTTTCTTGATCTGAGTATGACATCTCTGTAGCAACTCATCTCGTAAAATGTGTAAGTATGGAGCCACTTTGGTAAGACAGTGTTCAGAGTCCTGCCAATTGAATATCTCTTTTGGAAATTCCTTTGGAATCTAGATTCCAGAGCAGTGGTTTTCAATTGGGATGATGTTGTCCCCCAGGGTCCATTTGGCAATGTCTATAGGCATTTTTGGATTGCACAACTGGGTGCCACTGCATTAAGTGGGTGAAATTCAGGGACGCTGGCTCTATAATGATTATAATCCTATAATGTACAGGAAACCTCCTATAACAAATAATCATCCAACTCAAAATGTTAATAGTGCCAAGGCCAAGAAATCCTGCCATAAGCAATAAAAAATAAGTCTAAGCTCTTTTTTGCACGAGAGACCTTTTGATATGTGAAGACAGTTATAATCTCAGCTTCTTCTTGTTCAGGCTTTGTAATATTTGTAATTATATTTGTAATTATATTATATTAAATATGGTAATTAGTTTGTAATTACATTTGTAATTACTTCAGTTGTTGTTCTCAATGTGCAGACAGCCTCCAGAGTCCCTCCTTGGGACATCCTTTAATTTCTCAAAGTCCTGTTCATAATTACATATTCAAACATGCAAAATTTCCCATATGTGTTCTCACTGAGTTTAGCATAGCAGTGCTCAGAAAACACTTGCAAAAGGATAAATGGGTCCATGAGGCAGTAAATCAAAGAAAAGAAGAAGAATAAGAAAATGTAGAGCGTTGAAATTCCCTAATGAGGTCCTTCGTTTATGAAGATTAAAAAGAAAAATCAAAGACTTTATGTGCATTGGTAGAAATGACACAGGATGCATACAATACCTCAAAGCTCCAGTAGGGGGAGCCCAGTCACTAATTGAAAGACTGCACGGAAGTGTTAGGGTTTAACTACGACTTTCTTAAAAACTTCCATTGGGAGGCCGAGGCGGGCGGATCACGAGGTCAGGAGATCGAGACCATCCCGGCTAAAACGGTGAAACCCCGTCTCTACTAAAAATACAAAAAATTAGCCGGGCGTAGTGGCGGGCGCCTGTAGTCCCAGCTACTTGGGAGGCTGAGGCAGGAGAATGGCGTGAACCCGGGAGGCGGAGCTTGCAGTGAGCCGAGATCCCGCCACTGCACTCCAGCCTGGGCGACAGAGCGAGACTCCGTCTCAAAAAAAAAAAAAAAAAAAACAAAAAAAACTTCCAGAGAGAAATGAAAATATTTTATCTTTTTGATTTGTTTATATGCGTTATCTATGGAGGATGTAGAGCAATGCCATTTTGATCTTCTAGTTTGAGAAAAAAAGTCCAGAATGAGAATTGTGACTTAATTGTTCAACCTAAGCACAGGCATGGTTTCTTTTTCATGGCTGTTCCATTGGGAAACTCAAACCCATCCACTTTCATGGCGGCAGATACCATTTCATGAGAGTGCACCTATTTAAAGGCAGTTATTAGACTTCTTGAGCAATAGGACATGCAAAGTTTAGATTTCACAATGGAGCAGAAAGAGTTTGTGGGGTCGTTGGAGAGAAAAACTATCCCCTTATTCATTGAATTCTGTCCTGTGTGAGATGGTCACCTATTTTAGGTGAATTCATGAACTGTCAGCTGTCAGGGGGGATGTGTGCAGTGTGTGAGCCACCCTATTCCACTCCTCACTGTGCCTCCGTCAACATGGGCATTCCTCCTCAATCTTACTGATGTCATGGGTTAGGTCAGAAAATATAATTTCTTCAGATTCTAAGGATCATTTCCTGTCTTAAAGAGCAAAGTTTACTTTATATTCAGATTGATTGTGAGCGAATGGAGGAAGCAATTAGGAGATTCCAGACACAACAGGGCCATGTCTCTCTTAAGGATAATCACCAGGGGTGGGAGGCATGGCCGGTTTCAGTTCTTCCCTACAAAATTCCATTGCCAGGAATGACTTGCTTTGGAACATTCTCTCCAATCATTGTCTACCCATGTGTGATGCCTGTTTATCCTTTTCCTATCTGACCCCAATAAGTTCCCAAGGCACTTCGCTACTGTTCTTTGTCAATGACAAATGGTTGTTTAATCTAGACATCCATATATTGCTGCTTCTCATGCTCCTGATCAGAAGCAGGAGGCCAGTATGATTGAGTTGCTCACTCCCCCAAAACCAGAAGTTCACACGTGAATTTATTCAGCTTCTATGAATTCTGATTCTCCAGCAACAGAAGGGCCAAGCCTAACAATTTTTCTGAAGAGGTTTTGGCATAGCAGGAAAAACATGGAATTTTGAATCAGAGACCTAAATTCCAGACCCTGCTCTTCAACTTGGTGTTCAATAGTTACTTAATTTTCTCACCTCTATACTTTTCAAATAAAGTAATAAATATTATGTAATAAAGAAATATATGCTATTTTTTCAAATAAAGTAATATACCTACTTATTTTTGAAGCAAAAATAGTAATGCCACAAAAAATCACTTTTTACATTGAAAATGGCATACGCATATTTATATGTTATGCTGCAAGTAGATTATGTTTAAGATATCTCAGTTGAATACTAGTATGACACTATTAGAAATTAAAGTTGTTACATCATTCTGAATACTTCTTAGGGAAATATCCTAGAAGTTAATTACAAGGAGATGGGATAATGGAATGACTTCATATGGGGCTGTGATAAAAACAAGTGGGAACTAGAGTTAAAGGAGGTAGAATACCAGAGGAAATGTTACTCTAAAGAAGAGAACAGAGATAAAGAAAGATTGTTTTGCAAAAGAAAAGGCTCTCCAAATAAACTCAAAAGAACCTGCTATTAGGTATTAGCTTTATGTAGCAAGCTAAGGTTAACAATCTATTCAAAGATTACAAACTGATTATCTAGCTGAGAATAAAGCAGGATACACAGAAATAAAGCTGAATTTTGGAAACTCAGTTAATAAGTGACAGAGAGGAATAGATTCTTGGGTTTGTCTCATTTCCACCACTCAACCTTAGGGAAATTGATCGACCTCTCTAAATTTCAGTTTCCTAATGTATAAAGTGAGGCGATTGGTCCATGAGATGCTGTGTAATAATCTGACCCATTTTTACATAAATTTTTTAAACCTATATGACCTTTACTATTCAGAATTTCTCCTTCTTTGTCCCTAGTTTTGTTTAAATTATTTACTTACGTTTAAAATAAAACTATTTTCACTGCTCTTATATTACAATTTTACATAAAACATGCTACAGTTGTAGATCTTCAGGAATCGTTCATTTCTAGACTTGGAGATGTCCATGTCCAAAAAACTTTGTGATGTGGGTGGATTTCACCTTGTCCTCGTTTGGAGTTTGGAAGAATCTCAAACTGATTCTGGTTAGTTCCAACCTTTAGGTGCTGAGTGCTTTTTTTTTTTTACACTGCTCCTTCAGGGAATTTAGAGTTTCTACATCTGTTTTAGAGACTTAAGCATGGAAGAGAGCATTATAAATATAGGGTCGTTTGCATGGGCCAAGCAATGTCTTACATCATTATTGGCCACCATGTCTGCTGGGTAACTGATGTGCAATGTGCAGGTAACTGTTGATGAGATGCTCTCACCCTGTGGCAAAGAGAAGGAAAACTAATACTATACCTCAGCCCAGGCTACTTGTGTCAGAGGAGTTCAAACCAGAGCGAACCCATCTTGAATACGGGTTGGGTAAAATAAGGCTGAGACCTAGTGGGCTGCATTCCCAGGAGGTTAAGGCATTCTTAGTCACAAGATGAGATAGGAGGTTGGTACAAGATACAGGTCACAAAGACCTGGCTGGTAAAACAGCATGCAATAAAGAAGCCGGCCAAATACCACCAAAACCAAGATGGTGATGAAAGTGACCTCTGGTCATCCTCACTGCTCATGATACACTAATTATAATGCATTAACACCAGTGCCATGACAGTTTACAAATGCCATGACATCATCAGGAAGTTACCCTATGTGGTTGGAAAAGAGAAGGAATCCTCAGTTTCGGGAATTGCCCACTCCCTTCCCAAGAACTTGTGAATAATCCACAACTTGTTTAGCATTATAATCAAGAAGTAACAATAACTGTAAGCAGGTGAGCAGCCCTTGCGGCTGCTCTGCCTAAGGAGTAGCCGTTCTTTTGTTTCTTTACTTCTCCAGTAAACTCACTTTCATGTTACTCTACCAATTTGCCTGAAATTCTTTCTTGTGTGAGATCCAAGAACCCACTCTTGGGGTCTGGAATGGGACTCCTTTCCAGTAACACCAGGGCACTCATTTAAATGACAAGGGCAGTCTGTGGGGGTTACCTGGGTTTCCTTATGGCTCACGTGGAGGTGGGAGGTCCTACATTTTGCCTCTTCTTGTATTCCATCTCCTAGTTCTCCTTGTCCTCCTCAAGTGCCCTTTTTTAGCTCTACCCTCCTGGATAAAGCAACCTTAATTTTCCGTTTTGGGTGAAGTTATTTAGCTGTTCATCTACATTTCTCCTAATCTCTTTCTTGTGAATGAATTTTATGTTCTGCTTCTTTAGGCCTTTCCTCTGTGACACAAAATCTTTTCTCACTTTTTTAAAAAAACTTCTTTAACATTTCAGTTCTCACTTTAACACTTTGGCTTTCAAGAGTACTGTCTTTGAAACAAGCTTCAAGTGACTATTTTGGAAGTCAAATACTGAATAGTGATGCTTTTTCTCTATGCCTTCCACCTCTAACAACCCTAATTCTTCTGCAGGCAATGGATGTCTCTGCTGAATAGCAGTTAGTACAAAAAAAGGCAAAGCACAGGGACAGATTTTAAAGTATTTTCTCACAACAAAACTACAAGGCTACTCATACAGACACACAATTCACTGATTCTGACAGGTAGACTTTTTTATTTTCTTTCTTAGTATATATATTTAAGGTGTATAACATGCTGTTTTGATATATATTAAACAGTGAAAGGATTACTTCAGTTAAGCAAATTAACTTACCCATCACCTTTCATAGTTATCACGCTTGTGTGTATGGTAAGAACACCTACAATTGTAATTGCCCAATGCATTCTTCCTGCCTGCTCCCCAGATAAAGCCGATTTATCAAGACTGAGGAATTGCAACAGAGAAAGGGTTTAATACATACAGAGCTGACTAAATGAGAGAGTGGAATTTTACTATTCCTCTAACCAGCCTCCTGGAAAATTTAGAGGCTAGGGTTTTTCAAAGATAGTTTGGCAACCAGTGGGTAAGGTATGGGTGCTGCTGATTGGTTGGGGATGCAATTAATAGGGGTGTGGAAAAGTACTATGATTTCGCTTCTGGTTAGTTCCAACCTCTAGGTGCTAAGTGCTTTTTTTTTTTACACTGCTCCTTCAGGGAATTTAGAGTTCCTACATCTGTTTTAGAGACTTAAGCATGGAAGAGGGCATTATAAATATAGGGTAGTTTGCATGGGCCGAGCAAGAGTTACATGTGGAGAGTTACAGGACTGGTTAGGTCCAGAGTTGAGGGTCTGAGTGGGGCCATCCTGTCCTTAGAAATGAGAAAGCCTGAAAGGCATCTCAAAAGGGCAATATTAGGTTCTATAATAGTGATGTTAATTACAGGAGTGATTGGGGAGGTTGCAAATCTTGTGACCTCCAGAATAATGGCTGGTAATTGGTTAACTAGGCCTACATCTTAGTAGAATTCAGGCCCTCTCTCTTCCTAACCTGGTGGCCTTTCATTAGTTTTACAAAGAAGATTTAGTTTTTGGGAAGGGCTATTACCATTTAACTTATAAACTAAATTTCTCCCAAAGTTAGCTTGGCCCATGCCCAGGAATAACCAAGGGCAGTTTGGAGGTTAAAGACAAAATGGAGTTGGTTAGATCAGGTCTCTTTCACTGTCATAATATTCTCACTGTTAGAATTTTTACAAAGGTGGTTTCAAAATCTACTCTCTTAGCAAATTCTCAGTATACATGCTACATCATTAACTATAGTCCTCATGGGTGCGTAACATAGCTAGAGTTACTTACCTTACATAGCTGCAAGTTTGTACCTTTTTCTTCTTTCTCTTCATTTTCTCTCCTCTGTCCCTGCTTATCACCATTCTACTGTTTCTATCTACTCAACTTTTTTTTTTGCAGGTTTCACACCTAAGGGAGGTATATATAAGTGAGGTGTTTATGTATGTATATATACACACATACACATATATACAACCCACAATTTCTTTATCAGTTCATCTATCCATGGACACTTAGGTTGTTCCTATATCTTTGGTATTGTGAATAATGCTGCAATGAACATGGGAGTGCAGATATTTCTAAGAGGTGTTAATTTTCTTTCGATACATACTGAGTGGTAGATTGCTGGGTCTTACGGTAGTCCTATTATGAAATTTTTGAGGAACCCGTATGGCGTTTCCCAGAGTGACTGCATTAATATACCTTCTTGCCAACTGTACACAAGGGTCCTTCTCCACACCCTTGACAACATTTGTCATCTTTTGTCTTTTTGATAATAGCCATCCTAATATGTATGATCTTATTGTGGTTTTGATTTGCCTTTCCCCAGTGATTAGTGATGTTAAGCACCTTTCACAAACCTGTTGGCCATTTGTATGTCATCTTTAGGAAAATGTCTATTTAGGTCCTTTGACTATTTTTTAATTGGGTTATTCGGCTTTTTAGCTATTGAGTTGTGTGAGTTTCTTATAGATGTTGTATATTGACCCTTTATTAGAAATGTGGCTTGCAAATATGACAGATAACTCATTTTTTAACTCCTTTTTTAGAGATGGGGTCTTGCTTTGTTGTCCAGGCTTTTCTTGAACTCCTAGGCTCAAGCAATCCTCCTGCCTCAGCCTCCAGAATAGCTGAGGCTGTAGATGTGTACCATTTCACCTGTCTTAGGTAAATTTTAAGGTCTTATTGTATGTCAAGCATGTGAAAAGCTTGTAAGTAAATGAGACATGGAACTTCCCCTCAAGGGGCTACATACTGATGATCGAATCCAAGAATCTTAGGGAAATTGCTGTTTTTATCCTTCTCCGGACAGGAATCCTATCTTTGAAAATAGTCCTATTGTACTTGCACACCTGTAGTGATGGAAGAATGTTTCTGGAAAGCTGACTTTGAAGCAGATAAGAGTCGTATTTAAATGACCTGGGATTTCCTCTTACTGAAATGGACCCTATAGTAAATCTTAGAAATATAAATCATTAACCACTAACTTGTTTTATAAGTGAATACTTTTTCATACACTGGCTTTGCTTAAAGCAAATATATTTGTATATCTGGATATACATATACACACAAATATATGTATCTTTGCAAAATATGTATGCTATATATTGAATCACATTTTATTGTAGTTTTTCCTTAGAAAAAGTTGTGCTATAATTATTCCTATTAGGAATAAATGTTAATTAAGCTCATATATTTATTTCAAAATTAATTCAGTCACTGCATTACTTCTTCTTACAGTGATGGCAAAATCTCTCAATGAAGATATATATTAGCCATATAATCTTTGAAATTTTTTTAAAAATAAGTTTATCCAAAATGATTTCTAGTTTCATTTCAGAATCTTGCTGCCTATGTGAATTCTATATATTTATATTGTAGTATTGCTAAAACAATTGAACCATGAAGTTGGACATAGTTCCAGAATATAGTCTCAGTTTAATTCTCAGATAATTTAATCATTTTACAGATTCAGGAATTTCTGAGGTACTGTTATAGATGAATGCATATTTATAATTGCATATAGAAATAAGAATTATGCAAAAATATGACTTAAAATATTTCAATCTGTAACTTGCACAGTATATCATTATCATGAATCTAATAATGCTCATTTCAATGTTAGAAATTAAGATAATACTAAAGATACACAAAACAATACATGTATTTACTGAATAAATGTTTGTTAAATTCTAATGTGGCACTTTGGGCTATGATAGACAGTGGGGGTACAGTGGTGAATAAGAATTTCTGTTTTTATAAAGACAGTGTAAATGATGAAGGAATAAAAAAGAATGTACATTATTCTTACCCTCAATAAACATTTATTGAACATATATTATGTTTGGCAATATAACAAATTAAAATAATTTTTTGTGACATTATCTGTTTTAAGTGTTGACTTCTTTGTTTCCAGTTCAGTTTCTTATAGCCACCAAACTAGCAGGTGACTAATTCCTGATGCGTATTTCTTGGCTTATTCAAACTTAAAATGTGAGCAAGATGAACTGGAGTATGAGTCAATAAGTTGTTTCCCAGATAGTTTAATCATTGTAATTGAGTAATATTAGCTAAGATTATGTGTCCGTCCTATACTAGGCACTTTGAGAAGAGATAAGCCTTAATTTATATCGAATATAGATTTTTTATAAAGATATATTACCCCTAGCCTTCTTATAGCTAATAATACAAAAAATTATTAACAGTGCCTTCCTTTAAGAACTTAAGAGTTTAGTAGGGAAGAAATGTGCTACTTGAACACTACAATAGTTACATTTTTTATCCTGCACTATTGAAAGTAAAATTTTGTTGAAGTATAATATACATAAAGGGAAGTGTACAAGCCATAGGTGTATTTGAACTATACTGTTTATCATTATCTTCTTTTCTTTCTACTGTGTGTAGATCTGAAGTAATGACTCCCTTTTTATTCCTGATATTGGTAATTTGTGCTTTTTCTTTTACTTTATTAGTCTCATTAACAGTTAATCAATTTTATTAGTTTTTAACTAGAACCACTGTTGGCTCTGTTGATTTTTTCTATTCTATGTTTTATTTTTTAATTACATTATATTCTTATTTTTATTATGTCATTGCTTTGTACTTTGGCATAATGTGCTCTTATTTTAGCAATTTTTAAAATATATATTTAGATTATTGATTTCTAAATATTTTCTCTTTTTAATTTATATATTTAAGGCTATACATTTTCCTCTATGCACTGCTTTAGCTGAATCCTTCAAGATCTGCTTTGCTGTATGTTCATTATCACAAAATTACAAATGTTTTTAAATTTCCCTTATGATTTTTTGCTACCTGTATTATTTAAAAGGATTTGCATAATTCCCAAATAATAGTGAATTTTCTGGTTGATTTTGTGTTATAGATTTCTTGTTTAAATATCAGTGTGGCCAGATAACATACTTTAAATGACATAAAATTTTTGAAATTTGTTCAGTCTCAATTTAAGGAATTATTTTTTGGTAAATGTTCCTTGAACATTGGAATAGAATGTATATTCTGTTATTGTTTTGTGTGGTGCCTATAAATTTTAATTATGTCAGGTTTGCTAACAATATTGTAGAGACTTTGTTTGCTTTTTCTTGAAGTTTTTGAAAGAGGTATATTAAAGTTTTCCAGTATGTTTACAAATTTATCTAAATTCTCCTTTTGTTTCCCTCAATATTTATTTATATGTTTTGAATCTGTTATTCTGTTTTGTGTTGATTCAGTTTTTAATGTCATATCTTCAAAGTGAATTGATCCTATTTCCATCATAAATATTCTTTCCCACCTTCCACCACCACTGCCTTTATCTCTGGAAACTGTTCTTGTCTTAAATTACTTTGTTTGCTATTAGTCTTGTGATATGAGCTACCTTTTAGCTAGAAATGTCTAGTACATCTTTTTCTACCCTAATTCTTACTTTTCTGTGTCTTTATCTATTAGGTGTGATTTTGCAAACCATTTTTTTTCTTTTCCAGGCTGCCAATCTTTAAGATTCTTATATGTAATGCAGTAATTGACATATTTTGTTTTCTATGTTAATATTTAATATTTGTTTTCAATTTGTCTCACAGGCTTTATGGTTTTTTTTACATACTTATCTTCTTGTGGATTAATCAGATATTTTTAATTTCATATTTTCTTTTCATTAGTATATTAGTTATAAATGATTTTACTCATTTTTATTACCTTTATTATAACTTGAATCTTGACGTATTATAGTCAAATATAAGTTAGTACTCTTTCCTTTTCCCAGTTAATGGTGGAAACTTAATTCAGTTTAATTGTGTTTTCCATCATGCATTTTCATGTTAACTGTAGTTGAATTTTAAGTAATTGCTATGTACTAAGTTACATCTCCCTCATACCGTACTTAGTGTAAGTGATTAATCCCAAGCACAAAATATGATATTTATTCCTGGTAAACTTCATCTTTTTGGAGCTTTCATAATGTGGATTCTACATAGATTCTTTACTATTCCCATAGATGTTAATGGTTGATAAAGTTTGGATGTGTCCCCACCCAAATCTCATCTTGAATTGTAGTTCCCATACTCTCCACATGCCATGGGAAGGACTTAGTGGAAGGTAATTTAATCATGGGGCCAGTTACCCTCATGCTGTTCTTGTGATAGCAGTTGAGTTCTCACAAGATCTGATGGTTTTATAAGGGGTTTTCCCCCCTTTTGCTGGGCACTTCTCTCTCCTGACACCATGTGAAAAAGAATGTGTGTGCCTCCCTGTCCACCATGATTGTAAGTTTCCTGAGGCCTCCCCAGCCATGTTGAACTGTGAGTCAATTAAATGTCTTTCCTTTATAAATTACTGAGTCTTGGGTATGTCTTTATTAGCAGTATGAGAATGGACTAATACAATAGTGCAATAGTGGCATCATACTTTTAGAATGTCTATTAGCACTGTTGTTCTAAACATCTCTCCATTGCCTGTGCTTGAGCAAATTAACTTCAAATAGGTGACCAGATGTATTGCTTTTAGTTTTAAGAAAAACCAACTTGAAAGAGGAAGAATTATTAAAATAACTTTATGAGTCAATAGGAGTAATAGTCTTTTTCTCTGTCTGTACACTCATCACAGAAGCTTGGAACTGGCCAAAATACTATGATGAGTAGGATTTTAACTTTACCTTCACAAGTAGATTAATTGCATTTCATGACAGAGGTATTTCTTTGTAAAAATTATTTATTTAGAAAGAAAAATGATATTTATTAATTTTTGCCTTTCCAATATATTTTGTCTTCTTTTGAGAAGTAAAAATAATGATACTTGTGAAGATGTTTGTTACTTTAGGGTATAGTTGTAGTGTCAGTCATCCATTGCCTCAATAATGCTGTGTAACTAATCACCCCAAAGCTCTGTGGCTTAGAACAACCCACTGTTTTGCTTACAAATCTGAGTCTGCAAGTTGACAATATAGGTTACAATTAGTCTGGCAGTTCTTTGAGTCTGGTGTGTGCTCACTTCCAGGGCATCATCTGGCTTTGGGCTCATCTAGGATAGCCTTAGCTGGGATTACTGGAACTATGCAGCTCTACTCCAGCAAGTTAGCTGAAACGTGTATTTGTGGCAATCACAGACAACCGACAGAGCAAGTCAAGATATGCAAATACTTTATGAAGCCATTGTTTATTTCACATTTGCTTGTTGACATGACTGAATCAGAGTCAAGGAGTGGGGCAGAATATTCAGTTAGAACAGGAGAACACTGCAAAGTTATACAGTGAAGTGTGTGATGACATGAATAGGTGAAAAATGGGAACTTTAATTTACCAACTTAATTATAGTTGCCAACTGATAAGTGCTATAGTTAAGAAAATAAAAAGTTTTGAGTAACAAACTATATTTTTTTCATTCTTGGGAAGCATACAATATAGAAAATTATCAAGAGCTAAATGTTTTAATTCCCAAAATGGTCAATTTTGAGAGGAATACAGTATGACTGGGAATTGTTTGATTGAAATGCTTTACTTTTTTAAAGTTAGAGTTACAGACTATTCATGCTTATTAATTTTCCTTTACTGTAAAGATTGTGACATTTGTTTTGAATTAAAAACCAGTCTTGATTAGGTAAGGGAATAAGTACATGATAATCAGCTTAGGTACTGCATCCCATAAATATATTTGGTTCATATATTTTACTAGGAGGCATAGGCAGGTTACATTTAATTATTTATAGCAAGACTTTATAATATTCTAAGTGTCCGGCCATATATTTGGAAGAAGGAACAGTATCTTTCTTTGGATTTAAATCAAAGACTTCCTGCGACATTACTGGTTTTGTGAAAATGTCATGAAAACTACTGATTTTACTTTCTCAATTTTAGGGGAGAATATAGTACATAAAAACAAATTCTGATTATCATTTATATTCCTAGAAAAATGAGAGTTAGTTACAGGTGTTCTCAGGTCATTGGTCCTACTATTCTTTGAGGTATCCATAAGAACATAAAAATTGCTATAGTTAGGCCATTTTGTAAATAATATACATATATATGTATTTAAAAAAAACCCTTGAGGTAGGTGAACCAAAAACTTAATGGTACTTATGTTTGGAAAGTATGATCAGGGATAATTTTAACTTTCTTTTAGTGGTATTTTTCAAACCTTCAAACCTTCTATAAATAAACTTCTCTTACACTTTATTTGATCAATTTTAAAAAGTGAGGCTAGTCACGTTCATTTCAATCCAATACTCCTAAATTTCATCATTGGCCCAGTGTCATGTGGCATTAACTTCAAAGTTTAGGGTCACTGTTGAATAATTCCTTCTACATAAACATATATTCATTTAGCTTATTAAATATTTTGTCTATAAAATTATCTACATTTCTGTTGGCCATTCTATCTGCCTCATATATATACTTTGTGCCCCAGCAGAACAGAATTATTTTTCCCCTAATTTCTCTTTCTTTCTTGTCTCTTTGGAGCTTTGCTGAGGCTCACTTATCTTTCAGATCTTAGCATAAATGTTGCTTATCCATGGAAACCTTTTCTGACTTCCTAGACTCCTTGCCCTCTCTAGCACTCATCAACATTATAATTAAATATTAAATAATTGTTTATACAATAAATAACTATTTCTATTAGTTTATTTCTCCATCTAGATTGTAAAATACCTAATGTCAGAGGCCCAGTTAATTTTATTTCCTACTGCATTCCTTGGTCAATAGTACAGTGCCTCAAAGAAATCTTCTGAGTAAATGGATCAGTGGTAGAAAGATGGCTGGCTGGATAGAAGAATGAATGAAATCTCCTCTGAGTTGTGAACTTAGCCAACTACTCTCAATCGTGAGTGCTCCCTCCTCTGTCTTCACAGGTAGACTGGGATGCCCTCCTTTATTTAGACTTGCATTGCATCTTTATTCACTTGTTCAATAATTATTTCTTGAACACCTAGTAAGTGGCAAGCATTGTATTAGTAGCTGTGTATTCAACGGTGAAGAAGATGTATAAGGTTTCTGTTCTCAGGGGGCTTAAGTTCTGGTAGCGATGATAAAAAAAAATGGATCAGCAAGATAATGTCAGACAATAATAAATGCTAAGGAAAAACTTACTTGAATGTGGATGTGGAAATATCTCTTCAAGATCTTGATTTCAATTCTTTAGGATGAATACCCAGAAGTGGAATTGCCAAATCAGATTGTAGTTCTATTTTTAATTTTTTGAAGAACCAACATATTATTTTCTATAGTGGCTGTTCATTGCAGCATTATTCACAATAGCTAAGAGGTGAAAACAATCTAAGTGTCCATTGATGATTGAATAGATAAAGAAAATGTGTACATGTGTATAAGCAATAAAATATTATTCAACCTTAAAAAAGAAGGACATCTGTTTATATGTGAAAACATGGATAAACCTTAAGGATATTAAGTGAAATAAGCCAGTTATAGAAAGGCAGATACTGTATGATTTCACTTATATATCTCAAGCAGTCAAAATCATAAGAGTAGAAAGTATAATTGTGGTTGCTAGGGGCTGAGGAAAGGGGCCAGGGAAAGAGGGAAATAGGAGGTGGCTGTACAATGGGTATAAAGTTTTAGCTATGCAAGATAAAATAGTTCTAGTGATCTGCCATACAACAATGTACATGTAGTTAACAACACTGTACTATACATTTAAAATTTTTTCTCAGGTATATTTCATGTTATTATTTTTTAACAAATGCACAATAAAGGGTAATATGAGAGTGACTAGGTGGGTGAAGCTGATGTGTCTTCTTTAGAATGGTGGTCAGAAAAAGCTTCTTTGAAGAGAGGACAATAAACTGACACTGGAATGCGAAGACACAAGCATGAATAGGTTGGAATTTTCTAGACCAGATCTGTCATTAAAATCAAATACGAAACACTATATAATTTTAAACTTTTTAGTAGTCACACTAAAAAAAAGGTAAAATTAATTTTAATAATGTATTTTATAGAGCCCAATATTTACAAAATATTATTTATTAATGTAACAATATTAGCACATTATTTGTGGTCTCTTTTGTGCAAAATCTTTAAAATCTAATGAATATTTTAAATTTATAGCACATTTCAATTCAGGGAAACTGCATTTCAAGGACTCAATAGCCACATTATTAGTCACTACTATATTGGACAGTACAAATATAGAGGAGACAGCAGAGGAAAACAGCCTACCTAGGGATAAATTTGGAAAGTTGAGAAAATAAAAATGATCTAGAGTTGGCTGACAGAAGGGAAGAGTGGTAGGAATGGACTTGGAAAGACAGGAACAGGGACAAGTTTTTGTATCTTTCTTGCAACACACTTCCCAAATTATCGTAAACTCCTTCTTGAGTTTATCTCTTTATCCCAATAGTTTAGAAGATAAAGTAAGTAACACATATTTCATGAATAAATTGATAAAATAAATGAACAAATGTAGAGGAAAGAGCTTGTTCAGCAAAAACGATTTTTTTTTTTTTTTTTTTTTTTTTTTTTTTGAGACGGAGTCTCGCTCTGTCGCCCAGGCTGCAGTGCAGTGGCGATCTCGGCTCACTGCAAGCTCCGCCTCCCGGGTTCACGCCATTCTCCTTCCTCAGCCCACCCAGTAGCTGGGACTACAGGTGCCCGCCACCACGCCCGGCTAATTTTTTTGTATTTTTAGTAGAGACGGGGTTTCACCGTGTTCACCAGGATGGTCTCAATCTGCTGATCTGGTGATCCGCCTGCCTTGGCCTCCCAAAGTGCTGGGATTACAGGCGTGAGCCACTGCACCCAGCTAAAAAGAATTTCTTTTTTCACTTATGTTTATCTTCTTTTTTTTTTTTTAAATTTCAACTAGATTTTTTTTTAAATGTTTTTTAATTTTATTATTATTATACTTTAAGTTTTAGGATACATGTGCACAATGTGCAGGTTAGTTACATATGTATACATGTGCCATGCTGTTGTGCTGCACCCATTAACTCGTCATTTAGCATTAGGTATATCTCCTAATGCTATCCCTCCACCTCCCGCCTCCCCCCACCCCCAAACAGTCCCCAGAGTGTGATGTTCCCCTTCCTGTGTCCATGTGTTCTCATTGTTCAATTCCCACCTATGAGTGAGAACATGCGGTGTTTGGTTTTTTGTTCTTGCGATAGTTTACTGAGAATGATGATTTCCAATTTCATCCATGTCCCTACAAAGGACATGAACTCATCATTTTTTATGGCTGCATAGTATTCCATGGTGTATATGTGCCACATTTTCTTAATCCAGTCTATCATTGTTGGACATTTGGGTTGGTTCCAAGTCTTTGCTATTGTGAATAGTGCTGCAATAAACATACGTGTGCATGTATCTTTATAGCAGCATGATTTGTAGTCCTTTGGGTATATACCCAGTAATGGGATGGCTGGGTCAAATGGTATTTCTAGTTCTAGATCCCTGAGGAATCGCCACACTGACTTCCACAATGGTTGAACTAGTTTACAGTCCCACCAACAGTGTAAAAGTGTTCCTATTTCTCCACATCCTCTCCAGCACCTGTTGTTTCCTGACTTTTTAATGATTGCCATTCTAACTGGTGTGAGATGGTATCTCATTGTGGTTTTGATTTGCATTTCTCTAATGGCCAGTGATGATGAGCATTTTTTCATGTGTTTTTTGGCTGCATAAATGTCTTCTTTTGAGAAGTGTCTGTTCATGTCCTTCGCCCACTTTTTGATGGGGTTGTTTGTTTTTTTCTTGTAAATTTGTTTGAGTTCATTGTAGATTCTGGATATCAGCCCTTTGTCAGATGATTAGGTTGCGAAAATTTTCTCCCATGTTGTAGGTTGCCTGTTCACTCTGATGGTCGTTTCTTTTGCTGTGCAGAAGCTCTTTAGTTTAATGAGATCCCATTTGTCAATTTTGGCTTTTGTTGCCATTGCTTTTGGTGTTTTAGACATGAAGTCCTTGTCCATGCCTATGTCCTGAATGGTAATGCCTAAGTTTCTTCTAGGGTTTTTATGGTTTTAGGTCTAACGTTTAAGTCTTTAATCCATCTTGAATTAATTTTTGTATAAGGTGTAAGGAAGGGATCCAATTTCAGCTTTCTACATATGGCTAGCCAGTTTTCCCAGCACCATTTATTAAATAGGGAATCCTTTCCCCATTGCTTGTTTTTCTCAGGTTTGTCAAAGATCAGATAATTGTAGATATGTGGCGTTATTTCTGAGGGCTCTGTTCTGTTCCATTGATCTATATCTCTGTTTTGGTACCGGTACCATGCTGTTTTGGTTACTGTAGCCTTGTAGTATAGTTTGAAGTCAGGTAGTGTGATGCCTCCAGCTTTGTTCTTTTGGCTTAGGATTGACTTGGCGATGTGGCTCTTTTTTGGTTCCATATGAACTTTAAAGTAGTTTTTTCCAATTCTGTGAAGAAAGTCCTTGGTAGCTCGATGGGGATGACATTGAATCTATAAATTACCTTGGGCAGTATGGCCATTTTCACAATATTGATTCTTCCTACCCATGAGCATGGAATGTTCTTCCATTTGTTTGTATCCTCTTTTATTTCATTGAGCAGTGGTTTGTAGTTCTCCTTGAAGTGGTCCTTCACATCCCTTGTAAGTTGGATTCCTAGGTATTTTATTCTCTTTGAAGCAATTGTGAATGGGGTTCACTCATGATTTGATCTCTGTTTGTCTGTTATTGGTGTATAAGAATGCTTGTGATTTTTGTACATTGATTTTGTATCCTGAGACTTTGCTGTAGTTGCTTATCAGCTTAAGGAGATTTTGGGCTGAGACAATGGGGTTTTCTAGATATACAATCATGTCATCTGCAAACAGGGACAATTTGACTTCCTCTTTTCCTAATTGAATACCCTTTATTTCCTTCTCCTGCCTAATTGCCCTGGCCAGAACTTCCAACACTATGTTGAATAGGAGTGGTGAGAGAGGGCATCCCTGTCTTGTGCCAGTTTTCAAAGGGAATGCTTCCAGTTTTTCCCATTCAGTATGATATTGGCTGTGGGTTTGTCATAGATAGCTCTTATTATTTTGAAATACGTCCCATCAATACCTAATTTATTGAGAGTTTTTAGCATGAAGAGTTGTTGAATTTTGTCAAAGGCCTTTTCTGCATCTATTGAGATAATCATGTAGTTTTTGTCTTTGGTTCTGCTTATATGCGGGATTACATTTATTGAATTGCATATATTGAACCAGCCTTGCATCCCAGGGATGAAGCCCACTTGTTCATGGTGGATAAGTTTTTTGATGTGCTGTGCTTGATTTGGTTTGCCAGTATTTTATTGAGGATTTTTGCATCAATGTTCATCAAGGATATTGGTCTAAAATTCTCTTTTTTGGTTGTGTCTCTGCCTTGCTTTGGTATCAGAATGATGCTGGCCTCATAAAAAGAGTTAGGGAGGATTCCCTCTTTTTCTATTGATTGGAATAGTTTCAGAAGGAATGGTACCAGTTCCTCCTTGTACCACTGGTAGAATTCGGCTGTGAATCCATCTGGTCCTGGACTCTTTTTGGTTGATAAGCTATTGATTATTGCCACAATTTCAGAGCCTGTTATTGGTCTATTCAGAGATTCAACTTCTTCCTGGTTTAGTCTTGGGAGGGTGTATGTGTCGAGGAATTTATCCATTTCTTCTAGATTTTCTAGTTTATTTGCGTAGAGGTGTTTGTAGTATTCTCTGATGGTAGTTTGTATTTCTGTGGGATCGGTGGTGATATCCCCTTTATCATTTTTTTGTTGCATCTATTTGATTCTTTTCTCTTTTCTTCTTTATTAGTCTTGCTAGCGGTCTATCAATTTTGTTGATCCTTTCAAAAAACCAGCTCCTGGATTCATTTATTTTTTGAAGGGTTTTTGTGTCTCTATTTCCTTCAGTTCTGCTCTGATTTTAGTTATTTCTTGCCTCTGCTAGCTTTTGAATGTGTTTGCTCTTGCTTTTCTAGTTCTTTTAATTGTGATGTTAGGGTGTCAATTTTGGATCTTTCCTGCTTTCTCTTGTGAGCATTTAGTGCTATGCATTTCCCTCTACACACTGCTTTGAATGTGTCCCAGAGATTCTGGTATGTTGTGTCTTTGTTCTCATTGGTTTCAAAGAACATCTTTATTTCTGCCTTCATTTCGTTATGTACCCAGTAGTCATTCAGGAGCAGGTTGTTCAGTTTCCATGTAGTTGAGCGGTTTTGAGTGAGATTCTTAATCCTGAGTTCTAGTTTGATTGCACTGTGGTCTGAGAGACAGTTTGTTATAATGTCTGATCTTTTACATTTGCTGAGGAGAGCTTTACTTCCAAGTATGTGGTCAATTTTGGAATAGGTGCGGTGTGGTGCTGAAAAAAATGTATATTCTGTTTATTTGGGGTGGAGAGTTCTGTAGATGTCTATTAGGTCCGCTTGGTGCAGAGGTGAGTTCAATTCCTGGGTATCCTTGTTAACTTTCTGTCACGTTGATCTGTCTAATGTTGACAGTGGGGTGTTAAAGTCTCCCATTATTATTGTGTGGGAGTCTAAGTCTCTTTGTAGGTCACTCAGGACTTGCTTTATGAATCCGGGTACTCCTTTATTGGGTGCATATATATTTAGGATAGTTAGCTCTTCTTGTTTATCTTCTTAAAAGCCTTCTAACCTTAGACTCTGGTAGAAGCGTAGGTTCCCTTCAACATATCTATTCATGGTTGTTTTTGCAAACTCCTTCTGCATGCGTATCATCATCATTAAAGAAATAATTGCCAGTTTGGAGTAAACATTTATTGAGTAGCCTTGAATAATTATCCTGTGAGGTATGTTTCTGAGTTGTTGTCCATGTTGCATGCAATGTTTTATGAAATAATTGGTAGCTGGTATAATGCCTCATTGAAATAACTGCCTGTTTAGTGCAATATTTTCACCCAGCAATTGTTTATGTTTTTGCAGAGTTTCCATTTGCTCTGAATCTTCTTTAGTATAATATTTCATTAGAGATTTTCTCTTCTACATAATGGGAAGATGAGCTGTTGGAGCTTTTAACTACTGGGCACAGCTGAATCACTAAGTAATGGTAACAAAAAAGAATTGTATTAAGCACACAAGTTACTCTTTGTTTTATTGAATAGCAAATATAGGCTCGATGTTATTAATACTGTTAAGTGTTGTTAAGTAAATATCCATTCCTGGTATTAATGTTATCAAAGTAAAAATTAGAGAACCACAGACTGCATTTTTCTACTGTGTTGCAGATTAAATTTTCTGGAAGCACAGTGCTTGGGGTGCAAGATGTTTATTTGGGATCATTATCTGTGAAAGAAAGGGGAAGAAGACAGGTGTGGGAAGAAGAAGGAGATGAACGGTGATGCAGACCAATTATATCTCAGCCACCCCGGCAGGGATCCCTTGGCAAGCTCTGATGGTTAGAGCTGTCCCGTATCAAGCTGAATGGTGGGCCTTTATACCCATTCTCACGAGATACAGGCTGCTCCAGGAAAGGCGTGACCTTGAGTCAGGGGGCTACAACTGAGGCAAACCTTGAAGAAGGTGACAGCTGGAACCTGCTTGCTGACTACACTCTTCACAGCTGGTCAGTAATTCCTTTCTTGAAAGGTGACCTGGATGGTGTAGCTTATGTTTACCACATGCTGTTAAACCAAAAATTGATGATCCAGTATCAAATTTTTACTTTAGTTAAAACAAAATTTTATTTTTTATTTTGCATTCGATTTAGCTTAATGAGTTAATGCCTCCTAGATTTATTTTATGTTTGCATACATGTACATGAGATTATAATTAACATTATATAGGTCAAGACTGGTGAGGCAAAGAGAATTTATTTTAAAAGAGCTCTTTTATTATTTAGATATGAACGACATTAATTTATTTTTTATGCAAGAAATATATGTGCATTGTAAAAAAATTAGAAATATGTAAACTGAAATACAAAAGGATCCCTGAGCATTCTTGTAACCAGTTCCACTCTGTCATGGACGCACTATTAACTGTTTTAGACTATAACTGCAGGTCCCCCATTAGATATGTTTATAAATATACATATATATGGGTACATATGCCTATAGAATTTTTATTTTGTAATAGAAGAACATCATTGCATATAGCAGTCTTCAACTTTTTATTTTGACAACGAAAACATTTTTTCATAAAAGTGCATGTAAATCTACCTAATTTTTAACTTTTTAATACATCTTGAGTGTTTATATTTTTCCAACATTTTACTCTTATTAGCAGAGCTGCAAAAAACATTCTTTACAAATGTTTGTTCATGTGCACAGGTATTATTGTAGAATAAATTCCTAGAAATATATTTGCAAGATTGAAGGGTACACACTTCAAAGGTAGTGAAAGATATTGTTGTCCTCCAAAATGGTTGCACTAATTTGAATATCAATAAAAAAAATCCATGAGACAGTTTCCCATCATAATTGTCTTCTTTAGAGATAAACATGACTTTCAATTTTTTCTCAACCTGAAATATGAAAAATTGTGCACACTGTATTTCATACCTATGTTTTTCTATTTTGTTACAATTAGTAATATAATTTACTTAGGTTTGCTCCAGTAATTTTAAGCTATACAATTTGTCTTTTTCCTGCATAGTGTGAGCTAATTCTAGGTAACATGAAAAGTATCAATTTTATTTTGAATAATAAACTACCAGCAAAACAATTTTATTGAGGTTAAACTTATCAGTGATATGACTTGTGGCAGTTAGGATTTTCTGGTGGCAAGCAACAGAAATAGACTCTAAGAAGGAAATCGTTACTAAGGAAAGAAATTTATTGGAAGAAAGTTGAACAGCTCACAGAATAGTGATGGTACTAGTGCTATCAAAGGTATAAAGGCCAGTGTAATGAGTTGATTAGTGTTCTCTCAAAATTCATTTGTTGAAGTCATAACCTCCAGTAGCTCAGAAGGTAATTTTACTTTGAAATAGACTCATTGCAGATTAATTAGTTAAATTAGGGTGAGGTCATACCAGGCAGGGTGGATTCCTAATCCAATATTACTGGTGTCCTTAGAAAAGAATGCCATGTGAAGAAACACACATAGGAAGAATGCTGTATGGGCACCAAGCATAGGTTGGACTATGACATCTACAAGCCAAGGAATGCCAAATGTTGCTGGCAACCACGAGAAGCTAGGAAAGAGGGGAACAGAAGAGATTTTTCCCTCAGAAGGAACCAGTTATGCCAATTCCATGACCTTGGACTTCTAGCTCCGAGAATTGTGAGATGATACATTTCTGTTGTTTAAGCTACGCACTTTGTAATACTTTGTTATAGCAGCCATGATAACCTAATACAGCCAGGTACCAGGATGGCTTCTAAAGTTTAGATAGCAGGAATTATTTACTTGCCAGTCTCCTCATGTAGTTGTTACTGTAACAAATAGATTCTAGAATTCTTGTGTTTGTTTTTGGTGTTTATATCTTTCATTTCAAGATTCAGAGTCCCTGGAAGAAAAGTCCATGCATTAAACTTGGATCCAACATCCCCCCACCCTGAGATTGTAAGAGAGCAGGACACCATTATATATAGTTCCATAACAATTGTACACCACCTAAGTGAGCCAATCTCCACAAAAGAACTGGGTTTATTGCCAAAGAAGTGGAGTTGAGTAGGATGCTGGGGAGCCAAGAAGTACAAATATTCACTTCATGAGTCAAAGTTGATTTGTAGATTCTGAAACACACATTTGAAATATGTGAGAAACATAAACATATTGCATGTTGATGTGGCTTATCTATCTCCAAGGAAATTCTTTACATGGAAAAATGCACAGAAATGAAGAAGGAAAAGGAGGAGGAGGCAGAGGAGGAGGAGGCGGAGGAGGTGGAGAAGGAGGAGAGGCAGGAGGTGGGGAGGAGAAAGAAAGAAAGAAGGAGAAAGAGAAGAAAAAAATTATAGAAAGAAAGAAAAGAAAGTTAGTTATTGGGCAGTTGCTCCATGTCAGGCATTGTTCTAAATGCTTCATGTATATGAAAGTTTACCCTCTCAACAATCCTATGAGATGGTTATTATTATACCACTCACTTTACAGTTAAGTAAATGAAGGTACATACATAGATGTTAAGGTATTTGCCCAAAGAAATAGTAAGTTGCAGAGTTGGGTTTCAAATCTAGGGAATCTGTTTTGAAATCCACCTTCTACATATTCTGTGTTCTAAGTGTGCAGGAAATCTGGCTGATTTGGGGTTTAACAAGGAATGATTTGTTTTAGTCATGACTTAAGCCATTTTCTTGGCATCTTTAAGCTACCTGTAAGGGAATTGCCAAGTGACACATTATCCTATAATTGTACTGTATTATTAGGCCAACTCTTCTAAAAGCCAGTAGCTATCTTTTTCTTAATGACACTTGCTTGCTTTTGTTAGCTGAAGTTGAGTGGTTTATTAGGTTCTTATAGCCCAAAGGTAAAACTTCTCCTCTTTGGAAGTACTAAAGAGATCCTGTAACATCCACTCCACAGTTAAGTGATTATTGCCAAGTGCCTAAATGTTGTTACAAATCAATAAGGGCTTTGTGAAAAACCTCCAAAGCTGGATCACTTCTTATCATTTACATTTGGCAAGCCTCTTAACTCCTCTGAGAATCAGCGTCTTCTTTGTAAAAATGAGGTTAATAATTTTTGCTCTACTTGCTTAGCTGCGTCGTTGGATCACGCACAATAATGATTTTAAAGTGCTTTGTAAACTGTGAACATTTTAACTAGACAATCTAAAAATATTTTATTAACAATAAAAATGCTGTGGTCTTGTTTCTGTTTCCTTCATTTGTGTATAATTAGTAACTTCATTTATTCACTCAGCCAGCCAGTCATTTCATTTTTACCGTCTATCTAATGCATACAAGGTACACAGGAAACATAATGAAAAACAAAGCATGTTCTTGTTGTACAGGAGCAGGAACCATGCAAAGCTAATACAGTATGGTAAGTGCTACCATGGGTTAAATTGCAGTTTTTCAATAGCAGCCCTACTGACATTTGGGACAGAGAATTCTTTGTTGGGATGGCTGCCCTGTGCATTGTAAGATATTTAGCAGCGCCCCGGCCTCTACCCACTAGTTGCTAGTAGTACCCTCCTCCCACATTTTCACAAACAAAAATGTCTCTAGACATTTCCAAATGTCCCCTGGGGAAAGGAGCAAAATTGCATACAGGTGAGAACTATTGTGTTAAATAAAGGTGCCTTTGCAGACTTCTGGCAAGAAGTGATGCCTAAGCTGAGACCTGCTTGATCAACAGCAGTCAATTTGCAATCTGCTGTATTTGAATATTTACCTAATCTTTTTGTACTAAAAAGGAACAATCTTTTTTTCAAAGAGAAATAGGTCCGTGTGAACCTGATATGGAATGAAAAATGTTCGAATATGTCCTTCCTACTCAGTATACTTACTGTAAACCAGAAATAAAATTCAAAGCTCCCCCCACCAACAAGTATCTGAATGGACTCCCTCCTCCTGGAAATGCCTCAAGGGCACTCTGAAGTTAACTCGAAAGACTGGTTCAGGTCATGATGGGAAGAGGGGATTGGACGTGCCTCATTATGCCTTCCTCCCTTCTGGAATTCAGGAAAACCCAACCAGCATTCAACATCAGCACAGACCTTAAGTCTGGTATGAAGCATTTACAATCTATTCTCTCTGAAGCCTGGTAACTGGAGACTTCATCTGCATGATAAAACTTTGGTCTCCACAACCTCTTATCATAACCCAGATACTCCTTTCTATTGATAATAACTTTTTCAACCAATTGCCAGTTAGACAATTTAAAAAATCTACCTATAACCAGGAAAGCCCCACAGTCCCCCCATGTCGAGTTGTTGTCTTGATTTTCTGGACCGAACCAATGTATAGCTTAAATGTATTTGATTGATGTCTTATGTCTTCTTAAAATGTATAAAATCAAGCTGCAACCAGAATACGTTGGGCACATGTTCTTAGGGTCTCCTGAGGGCTGTGTCATGAGCCGTGGCCACTCCTATTTCACTCACAATAAATCCCTTCAAATATTTTACAGAGTTTAACTCTTTTCATTGACAATACAAAAGAAGATTTTACAGAATTCAGAAATGCAATGTACGTAGGGAAGATTACTATGATTCCCCAACAATTAAAATGATTGGAGTTTGCTCACAAGCCAGAATAAATGCTAATTTTATGTGTATGAATGAAATGAGTGTTTATCATTATGACAGAGGTGTGACAATTTTAAAGCTTAAAGGTTCTTATGAAATAAATTATAAATGTTAGAAGCATTGTTTCTCCTCCAGTGCTAAAAATAGGGCAGAATTCTCAATTGAGGTAGCCTAACAATTTAGGACTGTTTATAATTGTGCGTTTTCTCAAGAACTGACAGCTTAGATATAGATTTCTGCAATTAGATCACAAGACTTATCTGAAGCTGCACTTAGAAACACAGAATATTAAAACTTATAGAGAAGCTAGAGATCGTATTGTCCAAATCCCGAGAGGTAATATGTTTGTGTAAGTTCAAATCACTACACAGTGGCAGTGTCTGGACTTTGTTTCTTGACTTCCTGTTCATTACCACTACACACCTAGGTGTCTTTTCCATTTTCCAGGAAGCTTCATTTCACTCTATTCAATGAGAAGTGAAGTGTTTGTTTTGTATGGGGCAGATCAAACCCCGGACAGAGCTCTTAGGAAATGCACCTTGTTTCTGGTTTCTTAGACAATCCAGTGTGATAACTCTTTTTTTTTTTTTTTCTTGTGAGACAGGGTCTCGCTCTGTCACTTGGGCTGGAGTGCAGTGGTGGCGTGATCACAGCTCACTGCAGCCTCGAACTTTTGGGCTCAAGTGATCCTCTCACCTCAGCCTCCCAAGTAGCTGGGACTGTAGGCACGTGCCACTGTGTTCAGCTAATTTTTTTTAAATGTTTGTGTTTTGGAGAGAGGTCTCACTCTGTTGTTTAGGCTGCTCTCGAATTCCTGGGCTCAAGCAGTTTTCCTGCTTTGCTCTCCCAATGTATTGGGATTACAGGCTTGAGCCACTGCAAGTGGCCTACTTTCTAAGATTAATGTTTGCATTTCTTTAATAGTTTACTTATATCTTATAAATCTTATTTATTTATCTTATATAGTATCTTATTATACTTTTTTTATCTCGAAATGGCAAGGTTTCCGAGTTGGTAGTTGAAAGACATCTGAGTACAAAATTGAACTAACTTAAATCCTTTTTGCTTTACCTTCATTTTATGATGAGCTCCTCTTGTATATTTCTGGTTTGGGAAAAACTAGATATAGAACATAAATGTCATATTCATTTTCCTTCTATCTACCTAGATTTCCTTGGCTTTGCACATGAAGTTAAATGAAGTAGTAATTCTTAAAGTCTTGGACTCATGGGTTAGAAGTGTTTTAAGTGGGTTTTCTTCTCTCCTGAGATACATTAACATAAGAGAATAAGAAACTCATATCTTCTCGTGTCAATTTATTTCAAACTTTATAAACCTTTGTATGGAATCCACTTCCTGTATCTTCAACTTCATGGTTTTATTTCTGCCTCTAGGGAAGTAAACAGAGCAGTTCTAATTCCCCCTCCCTGTGAAAATGTATAGTAAAGTTAAAGAAGCTTAATAACGAAAGTCACAGAGGCAAAAAGAAACACTTCTTATTTTTTTCTCATCTTCATTTCATTGCTAGAAATTTAATAATGTAATGAAAATAATATTTTGAAAAGATGGAATTGATGTATTTTGTGTTTCTCATCCCTCCTGCTCATTTTAACTATGAATAGATGGCATCATAACCAGGGACCCTGACCCCTCAGAAATAAAAATCTGGGTCATCACACCTGTCAAGCAACCTAAACCAGTGCAAGTGTTCACCAACTATGAAAATAATCTCAAATGGATGGTAGAGGAGGGAGATGATAAATATCAGCTAAGGCCTCAGAGCTAAATGCAGCAGTAGAGGCTAGTTCATATTACTACCCTCCTATTGTTAGTTTTCTCTAGAAATTATGACAACTGCCATCTTAAAGAAACCATGACAGGATGATAAAATGTGAGTCCATCGAGTGGTGCAAAGGGTGTACTGAAAGTGGTTGCTGTTGGTGCTCCACCCAGATCTCTCAGATTTCCTTTTCCATTTCTGTGTCCCCTTCCCTCAGCATTGGTGCACTTTTGCCTCCAATAACTCATATCTGACATTCTTCTTTGAAGGATTCACATCGAACAATAGAAACTGCTTATTGCAACACATGGAGCAGAATTATTCAATACATGTTAGCCATCATTATTACTATTCTCCTTCCCAAGTAATTTTTGTCTCACTATGAAGAAAATAATTGGAATAGACCTCATGCTTTTGTGTGTTCTTGCATGAAAAAAACAAACAAACAAAGATATCTTTATAAGTTAGTATTCCCTTCTCTGGAAGAGGCTGGACTAACAGAGAACAGGAGTCAGGAGGCCTGGGTCCTATCTGTCCCCTCCATAGTGTGGGCCACATATTCTATATCTGTAAAACAAGGGGTAGTCTAAAACAGAGTCAAGGTCTCAGCTAAAATATTATCTCCTCGAAAACCTCTAAGTATCCTTTCTACCAGAAGCTCTCTAACACTTTAGTCTGCTATTTCCTTTATTGTACTTACACAGTTTGTAATTATCTTTTTGTGTTTGTCTGTCTCCCCCAGTTGGCATGTAATCTAGACAAGAGCATACATCACATCTGTCTTTTCTGTCTTCTTCATCTC